>NC_000011.10:38696363-38847878 GCF_000001405.40 Homo sapiens
GTCTTCTCACAGCTCCACTAGGCAGTGCCCCAGTAGGGATTCTGTGTGGGGGCTCTGACCCCACATTTCCTTTCTGACCTGCTCTAGCAGAGGTTCTCCATGAGGGTCCCACCCTTGCAGGAAACCTTTGCCTGGACATCCAGGCATTTCCATACATCTTCTAAAATTTAGGCAGAGGTTCCCAAACTTCAATTCTTGACTTCTGTGGACCCACAGGCTCAACACCACATGGAAACTGCCAACGCTTGGGGCTTCCACCTTCTGAAGCCACAGCCTGAGCTCTATGTTGGCCCCTTTCAGCCACAGCTGGAGGGCTAGGACACAGGGCACCAAAACCCTAGGGTGCACACAGCACAGGGACCCTGGGCCTGCCCATGAAATCACTTTTCCTCCTGGGCCTCCAGGGCCTGTGATGGGAGGGGTTGCCATGAAGGCCTCTGGCATGGCCTGGAGACATTTTCCCCATAGTCTTGGGGATTAACATTAGGATCCTTGCTACTTATGCAAATTTCCGCAGCCAGTTTAAATTTGTCCTCAAAAAATGGGTTCTTCTTTTCTTTTTCTTTTCTTTTTTTCTTTTTTTTTTTTTTTTTTTTCGGAGTCTAGCTCTGTTGCCCATGATGGAGTGCAGTGGTGCAATCTCAGCTGACCCCAACCTCTGCCTCCTGGGTTCAAGCGATTCTCCTGTCTCAGCCTCCCAAGTAGCTGGGATTATAGGCACCTGCCACCACGCCCAGCTAATTTTTGTATTTTTTAGTAGAGACCGGGTTTCACTGTGTTGGCCAGGCTGGTCTCCGATTCCTGACCTCGTGATCCACCCCCCACCCCCCCGGCCTTGGCCTCTCAAAGTGCTGGGATTACAAGCATAATCCACCGCACCCGGGCCAGATTTTTCTTTTCTACTTCATCATCATGCTGCTAATTTTCTGAGCTTTTACGCTCTGCTTTCCTTTAAAAATGGAATGCTTTTAACAGCACTCAAGTCAACTTTTGAATGCTTTGCTGCTTTTAAATTTATTCCTCCAGATACCCTAAATAATCTTTCTCAAGTTCAAAGTTCCACAGATCTCTAGGGCAGGGACAAAATGCCACCAGTCTCTTTGCTAAAACATAACAAGAGTCATCTTTGCTCCAGTTCCCGACAAGTCCCTCATCTCCATCTGAGACCACTTCATCCTGGACTTTATTGGTCATATCACTATCAGCAATTTTGTCAAAGCCATTCAACAAGTCTCTAGGAAGTTCCAAACCTTCCCACATTTTCCTGTCTTCTGAACCCTCCAAACTGTTCCAACCTCTGTCTGTTACCCAGTTCCAAAGTCGCTTCCACATTTTTGGGTATATTTTCAGCAATGCCCCACTCTACTGGTCCCAATTTACTGTATTAGTTCATTTTCACACTGCTGATAAACACATACCCCAAATTGGAAACAAAAAGAGCTTTAATTGGACTTACAGTTTCACATGGCTGGGAAAGCCTCAAAATTATGGTGGGAGGTACAAGGCACTTCTTACATTGCAGCGGCAAGAGAAAAATAAGGAAGAAGCAGAAGCAGAAACCCCTGATAAACCCATCAAATCTTGTGAGACTTATTCACTATCATGAGAATAGCACAGGAAAGACTGGCCCCCTTGATTCAATTACCTCCTTAAGTCCCTCCCATAACAGGTGGGAATTGTGGGAAATACAATTCAAGATGATATTTGGATGGGAACACAGCCAAACCATATCAACATCTTTAGAAGTTCTAACAGACTAACTAAATCTAAGAAACTGATAATATAGTTGAAGAGATGAAGCGTGGACAAAGGAGAAGATACAAGGATATGCCCAAGACTTCTCCCAAAAAAGAAGTACCGGATATATATACACACACACATATATATATATACACACCCACACACACACACACACACACATATATATACATGCATATATATGATAGTAAGTGCTAGAAAAGTCTCCATCTGGAAAACCCCATAGTTGACTAGGTTAACCACACTGGGAATAAAAGAGTGAGATGGGCCTAGAAGAAGAGAAAGTATCTGCAATGGCAAAATGAAGTAAAGTGAGATAAATTTTTAAAAAGATATTTCAGGAAAACCCAAAATCAGAATCTTCACCTCTGATTTTGGCCTTTGTTCATTCTTCATTCACTTCTTCATCTCACCACTGAAAGGAACAAAAATTCATTCAATCATTATTGAACATCAGCTATCTCTTTGGGCTCTGATGACAACACTGTTAAGAAGCTGGATTCAGGCGATGCCCTTGTGAAATCATAGTCAATCAGAGAAGACACACATAGAACAAACTATTTAAAATAATAATAGTTGTGCTATCTAGTTACAAAGGAGAAATGAAGGGATAGGTTTGAAATGTAGAAGATTGCTCAGTTCAGCTGAACACAAGATAATTTATTCAATTTTTTATTCATAAAATATTATGTTCATTTTTAAAATGTGCCAAATACTGTGCTCAATAAAAAACAAAAACAGATAAACAACAACAAAAGCAGAAATTCTTAGATGATAAAAATTTTAAACACAATTAAATACCACCAAGCTTCTGATTCTCAGGCTTCTACACAAAGATCATGTAAGTTTTAGACACTGGTTTGTTATATTTACATTAGCCATATTGAGATATACACATAGTAAGGAATTTAAATGTGTAATCTATTTGGGTTTATGTCCTTATTTTCACTGACCAAGAATATATCCTATCATTTTCTCCCTGAAGAAAAATAAAAGAAACATAAGAGTCATTTAAAAAACACAAAATCACAGGGTAAGCATATTTTTCTTTCATCTCTTGAGCCATTTCAAAAATAAGGTTGGAAAGAGTCATGTTATTACTGTGAACTATGTGAACATATGGTATCGAGATGAAGGAACACTTGTCTTCTGACAGAGAATCCTGAGGTGTCCCACTTCTGAAGACTTATTTGTATTTGTTAAAAAAGGACAGAAAAATTCAAGATAAGAATAAAGGCCCCCAGCTATGAATTATTGTGGAAATACTGTCCAATTAGTGAACATCTTACTCAGATCACTTCAAACAGAAAAGTCCTCCATCCAAAGTTGTTTGACAGAGGAAACTACTTTTATTTTAGGAGAGGAAGATAGGAGACCCTGAATAGAATAATTTTATTAATCTATATATCTAGTTCTTTTTTTCTCCTTTCTTCCTTCCTTTCTGTTTTTCTTTCTTCCCTTCTTTCTCCTTTCCTCTATTCCTTGCATCCCCTTTTCCATTAGGCTGTAGGACACACACACAGACACACACACACACACACACACACACACACACATATACACACACCACAGTGGCAAGGGATCATTTACTGATTTATTATTATGTATTTATTTTCATCTGGTATTGATGAATGGGGAAAATAATTTTACTTTCCCTTGTTTAATGTCTGCCTCCATTTGCCACCAACACACCTAACCAGAAGGCAAGCAAGATTCTCAGAGTTCATTGTTTAGGAATATTAACATGCTTAGAGTCGGAATGAAACCACTTAAAGTGTACATTTGTTGTTTGCTAAGTGGGCAAACTACAGTTGCCCCAGTATGCAGGGAGTTTCTCCTTGAGAGTTATAGAAGAAATCATTGTGTTGGGGGAACTATCAGCAATTAACAATAAACTGTAACCTATGTCCATAAAGCTGCACCTGAGGCTACAGACTTCTGATGTGGAGGTACTTTGACACAGAATCTAAACAGGAGGCATGTTCCTTGGAGCCACAGAAAGGAAGCCTGGGTTGTCATTTGACCACAGGGATATAGAAGGCTGATTTGGGGTACTTGGTCGAGTGAGTATCCAGTTGGAAACATAATGTTCAGATATCTCTAGCTTCTTATTTTGTTTCTGCTCAGACAGCATGAAAGCTCTCCAAATGTTTGTGGCACTGTAGTTAAGTGTAATGGCTGCATATAACATAAGGTTGAATTTCTCAGAATTCTGTATAGTGAGTATACAGAGTCAATTTTCATGGGATTCCAAGTATTTAGGAATGTGACTGGTACATACTCAGAATTGTGAAATACATTTCTATTTTCAGTAGACTTAAATTTTCCATAAGACTGTATAATCCACGGGATTTTACACATAGATGATCCTGAGGTTGTTGAAAATTTGAGCTTCAGAAGTCTTCCTTAATAAGTATAGTCTGATAAATGCAACCAAAAAAGCAGAACAGTCTAAAGGGAGACGTTAAATTCAGTCTTGCTGTTTACATTTGTCATATACTTGCAAGTAAAAAGTTAAAGTCTGCAAGTTATTCTATTTATCTTTAGGTGAATTTAAAAGAAAAGAGAAATTATAAGTACAATGACTTAAGGTTTACAATGAATAATCTTACTGAAGAAAGAACTTGGAAATTTATACTACTAAAATATAGGTGAGACAATTATGTAATATTTACATTCCAGTGACCTCTGCGGTTCAAGAAATAAACATTATTAATTAGATTGGGCAAAGTTTTTTACTTGAGTTTAAATTCATACTCCCACTTTGTAATTATGTTTACAATTCTTTCAATATTTCTTAAATAATAAATGAACCTTTCTGATAAAGGAAACAGTTTATTAAGATTACCATTTAAACTCTAAAAAGCTTTTTTGTTTCAATCTTCTTTTACCCACAAAATATGTAAAGAACATTTATTTTAGAAATTGAAGTTGTTACCTTATATTTAGTCCAGAAAGTTTTATTTGTTTAAATGTAATGAGAATTTGATTATACTCAATCAAGCTGTAAAATGAACCCATTTGGCTTATGGAAATTAATATTTAAAACTTCAATAGCTTTATATGTATTAATGTCACCTGTATAAATATGATGTTAGATCTCTTACTAGTAAGAAAGCAGTCTTGGTTCTCTCCTTAAAAGCCCGTTTGTTCCAAATATTAACTTTGGAAAATGTAATTACCCCTAAAAGGCAAAATTATGTTTCTTTCACAATGTCAAGCCAAAACTAAAATTGATCTCATCCTTAGTATCTGTACCTTACTTGGTCCAATCCCAAACTGTTTTCAGTTACTGCAACTATTGTGAATGCTTGAATTTCCAAAGCAGAGGGATTTATATTGCACAATGAGTCTTCTAGTCCTGTGGTTTTCAAAATGTGGTGCCCAGAGCAGCAGCAGCAGCAGGAACCTATGCTGAATTGTCAGAAATGCAAATTTTAGAGCTTCTCTCTGGTCCTACTGAGTCAGAACATGATTCTGACTCGCATTAGTGTTTGATAACCACTTCTCCACTTCATTTAGCAAATCAATGTCCTAACCCATCATGAGCTTCTGGACTTTCATGACTTTTTCCTCATTTTGTCTAACTTCTTTAAAACATTCATAGCCACTCACATAACCCATACTGTGATCTCTCAAGATTTAAGGGAATAAGAAGTGGCTTCTCTACAAAAAACATCTTTGACACCACTTCCACCTTCATTTTATAAAGACAAGGTGGCTGCATCATATATATGCACATAAAAATCTCAAGGATTAAAAAAAACGATCTAAAGACATTTTTATTTCAGCATCTTATTAGTGTTATATGCCAAAAGATCTGGCAATGAAACAAATTCATTTCCCTGAGTGTATCCATTTGATACACTTAAAAAGCGACAGAGGTAAAGAGCAGAAGTGCCTATGTGAGCACATTTCCTCAGTAGCTAATGTTAATGTTTAATTCACTTCTGGGGAAAAATGATGACAAATATGAGGCCCTAATTGAGTAGACACACAGCTGCTTTTAATATTGTACAATTAAGATCCTGTCAACAAAATATGATTAGTGCAGTCTCTTTCTGAGAAAAAAAATAGCAAAAAAATGTAGAGAACAATGAATGCATCTGAAGCATGTGATACAGTGTGATATGGTTGGAATAACTGAACCTGACATTACATTATATTATGTATTTATTTCTCTGAAAAGAATGTTAGATTCATGACAGTAGGAACCTTGTTGCTCTTGTTCAGCCTACATATGTGTTTAGCCTTTGTAACTGGATAACAATTCTTACATGAATAAATAAAACAAACACAAAATGGAATTAAGGATCTATGTAAATCTTAAATAATATTTCTTTTGAGGGCCTCAGTTTCTTCATCTGTGAAGAAAGGCAAAGAAAAGTGAGAGTTTAAATATACAAATGGACAATGGCGAGAGTGCATTTAAAAATAGGATTCCCACCCACAATGCGTAGCAAGCAGTACAGAAGATCAAACCACAGTCCATGTAGCAGTCAGATCAGGTCAGAATTTAGTCAGCTTGTCAGGACATAATCAACTTCCAGCTCTCCTAATGTGTGCCTGACGTCCCAACTAAAAAACAACAGAAACCTAAATATATTCCCATAACCAATTACACAAGATGCCTTGCTTCTAATCAGCTCACCTCTGGCTTTTGCATGGCAACAACTTCCAATGAGAATATCTAAAATCTTCCTTTTTCTCCACTTTAAAACTTTTATACTACCTGCTATGGTCTGAATGTTTGAGTGTTCCAAAGATTCATGTGTTGAAACTTAATTCCCAATGTGATCATATTGAGATATGGTGCCTTTGGGAACTGATGTGGTAATGAGGACTCCACCCTCATGAATGGAATTAGAGTCTTTGTAAAAAAGGCTTTAGGAGTTATCTAGTCCCATTTGTTTCTTTCACCATGTGAGAAGACACCATCTTTGAAGCAAAGAGCAAGTCCTCATCAGACATCAAATCTACTGGAGCCTTGATCTTGGACTTCCCAGCCTCCAGAACTGTGAATAATAAATTTCTGCTGTTTATAAATTGCCCAGTCTGATGTATTTTGTTATAGCATCCCAAACAGACTGAGACACTCCTCTGTTTGCCTTTGAGTCTCTGCCAAATGTAAGGGATGGTGGCTGACTCCCCTGGTAGAGCAACCTATGAATAAATGGCATTTGTTTGTTTTAATTAGGGTGATCTTCATTTATTTCCACACAAGCAAGTCTGTAATATTCAAAACGTTCTCAGCACTACATTTCTATGAAATTTTAGAAATGGTAACCTCTGGGAAAGAATTTATATCAACGTAAAAGCAAATTTTCAACTCCAGATGATTAAAATGTAAATTCTCTTAGAGGCAAAGCTATGACAGTAAAATTAAAAAGTACTAACATGTTAGTGGAATATGTAAAGCGGAGACTGTTTCAGTTACACAAAACAGAGAATCGCAAATTTCAAATGGGATTTCTTAACAGGAAATTGTCACATACTCAAAATTGTTTTCAAGTGGCCATTTTTACTGCAATAAACCAACAAACCAGTTCCAATGTAAAGTACACACTAGGACACTTTTTATTAATTAACTAGCAAAATTGAATTCTACGTAACAAGTTACTTTAGATAACTCTCAGTTATACAGTTGGCCCTTTAACAAACAAAGGCTCAACCAGACCCATTTCTTTTGAGAACATGACCACAGCTGTTAAGTCTTTCAAGCTCACTTTTCACATAATTTTATGTCTTGAACCCCATGCTTCTACATACCTTTATATTTAAACAGGAGATTTTAAATAAGCAAAGCTAGTGCAATAATTTTGAAGATAAATCTTTATAACTTGATTTATTTCTATTCTGTCATTTCACGTTACCATTTGGTGTTTTCATTTATGTGAAAAATTTAAAATACTGAACTGCAATATGAATAGTAAGATAAAATATTTTTGTTTGGTAAAGTGTCTAAGGATTGACAGATAAAATGCAGAATGCCCAGTTAAATTTGAATTCAGATACACAATGATTTTCGTTTGTAAGTATGTTTCATGCAATTTTGGAACATCTTATACTATATAGTTTAAGTTTAATTTATAGTTTAATTTCTGACAAACTATAGTTTATCAGAAATTAAAATTCAACTAGGTATACTGTATATTTACTAAATCTTCAGCATTATTAAGATTTCAGTTCATAAATGACATAGTTTATTGAATTTTAAAATCTTTGAAGTTGAAATAATTGGGAAATTCTCAAATAGTAAAGAAAATAAAATGTTACATAAATCATAAAATAACTTGCTTACTAACATTGTATCTACTGAAGAAATTTTAGTTTTATCAAAATGCAGTTACAACTAGGCAACTATTTCATAAATTATTATTATATAAGAGTACAAGCAAAGTATCAAAGTTCAAAATCTTATGCAGACACACACACACACATATAACTATTACCCAGAACAATACTGAAATGAATACACTTAACTGACCTTTGATTAAAAAAAAGGCAAAACAGTGAAACAAACGTAGTCATTTTGAAAGACCATGCTGTAAAAATTAAACATCCAAATTCAAAAAAATAAATTCAGCCACGTGCCTTATAACCTTCACAAAATGAATAATAGACCTAATTATAAAACACAAAACTATAAAAATTCTAGAAAATAATATAGGATAAAACCTAGGTGATCTTCAGCATGGTGATAACGTTTTAGTTAAATCAAAAATGGTTCAATCCATGAAGGAAACAATTGAGCTGGACTTCACTGAAATTTAAAATTTATGCTTTGCAAAAGAAAAACAATGTCAAGAAAATGAGAAAACAAGCCACAGACTGGGAGAAAATAGTTGCAAAAGACATGACTTATAAAGGACTATTAACCAAAATACACAAAGAACACTTAAAACTCAATGAAAAGACAATGAACAACCTGATTTAAAAATGAGCAATAGATCTGAACAGACACCTGTAACAAAGATATACAGATGGCCAGAAAGCATATCAAAAGATGTTCAACATCATATGTCATTAGGGAACTGCAAATTAAAACAACTATTAGATACAACTACATTCCTACTAGAATGGCCCAAATCCAAAACAATGACAACACCAAACAATGAGGGTGTAAAGCAGACAAATTATCATTTATTGTCAGTAGAAAGGCAAAACGGTACAGCCACTTGGAAGACAGTTTGACAGTTTCTTACAAAACTAAACGTACTCTTACCACAAGATCCAGGAATCTCACTTTTTGGTATTTACCCATATGCAGTGAAAACTTCTCTCCACACACAAACCTGCCCATGGGCAATTGCCATAACTTGGAAGCAACAAAGATGTGCTTAAGTAGGTAAGTGGGTAAACTGTGGTACATTTAAACAATGGAATATTTTTCATTACTAACAAGAAATGAGCTATCAAACAATAAAAAAATGGAGAAAACTTAAATGTATACTACTAAGTGAAAAGGAAATCTGAAAAGGCTACTGACTATATGATTCCAACTATATAACTTTCTGGATAAGGCAAAACTATGGAACCATCAAAAAGATCAGTGACTGACAGGGGTTAGAAGAGAGGGAGGGATGAATTAGGCAACACATAAAAGTTTTTAGGACAGTGAAACTATTCTGTAGGTGGTAAATACATGGTACATAACTTTGCCAAAACCCATAAAACATAAAATGTAGAACACAAGTGGTAAACTTAATGTAAACTTCGGACTTTGAGCGACAGTGATGTGTCACTGTAGATTCATAGATTGTTACAAATGTATTATTCTGTTGTGTAAATCCACACTGAGGAAAATTGAAAACTTTCCACTTTCCATTCAATTTTGCTGCAAACCTAAAACTATTCTAAAAAATAAAGTTTATTAAATAAAAAGAAAATTGTCAAATATTAAAGAGTGATACTTTCTTTTGTCTTTTTTTTGTGTGTTTTTAATGACTTTGTTTCAGAATAGAAATGGCTTTGAAAATTTTTTATAACATTCTTACTTTACTGTTTGCCTATCTCACAATAAATGATTCCCAAGAGATCAGAGAAGAAAATTTGCTGAATTTAAATTTTTTCAATCTGAAACAATGTACCAGAGTTGGACTATATTTACTTTTTGATTAGAAAACATATAAAAGATTTCTGAAAAAAATGTTTTTAAAATTATTATACGCTCTAATTCTAGATGACCTCTTCCTCAAAGCATTTCCTGTCCTTAGAAAATCAACTATTTATTCTCTCTGCACTCTTTATACCTGGTATTTCATGGTTATTGGCATCATATTATGTTACAATCATTTGTTTCTATCTCTGCCTTGTGGAGAAGACTGACAGCATCTCAAGCTAAAGCATGGGTGTATGTATCTGTATATACCTAGACCAAATGTGTTCCTAACAGAAATCTAAACTCTCAAATATATATATATATATTTTTCTTTTACCATAAATATATTACCATATATTTTCCAGATAAATGACTAGATAATTTTAACACAGTAGATTAATGTCCAAATAAAGAATTAGGTAAAATTCGAAGCAACAATTCACAACCAGGGCTCAAATAGCACCTCAGGAAAACTTTTTCTACCTCTGGCATTTGTAACTTTTTGAAATGTTGACACTTTGTCATTAACCTTTGGGGCACATTTTTCTTTGCATTTGTGTTCCAAAAGTGTTTCCATTGTTCTCCAGCCCTTCCATTTGTATGCCGACTTACGCTTCATATCTCATTGTTTATATTATTTTGCATTATTCAATTTGTTAATTATAGTTTTAAAAACTAAAAAAATCAAAAGTTGAGATATTGAAAGTAATAATATCTAAATGTGTAGCATTCGCTCATTGCAATGAAATAAATGAAATTGAGTATGAATCATACTTTCTAGTTCATTTTTATTTTGAATAAGCAATAAACTATGTGCTTGTGTTAGTCAGCCAAGGCTGGGGAGGGAAATAGAAAAGGCTTAATCATTATCAGTGGCCTTGTCTTCTAAAATACTTAATAGGTTATGTAAAATCTATATAAACCACTCACTCTACCTTTTACCTACATTTATTAATTTGTTTAAAAACCTCAGCTTTCCCAATTTCTCTTCATTGGCAACTAAAATAAATATATACTGAACATATTTAATATATCTGAAAATATGGTTTTTTTGGTATACAAAGAAGAAAAGAAAACTAACTTTTAGTAGCTATGCAGCTACCAGACACTATGAAAATCTCTTTATATAGTTACCTCATTTAAATTGCATATCAACACTGTAAGGGATGTATTTTAAATCTACTTTGTAGATAAGGAATTTGCGAATATTAATTAATTAGGCCATGGATTAACACAAAGAGTGGCTACACAGGAATCCAGACAATTAAAGTATAATTTGTTTAAAGAAGGTACAATTATGATTCTCATATAAATATAAAATGGATGTGTATGAATGATTTAATATATTTAATTAATTCTTTAATTAAAGTGAAATCCAGTAAGATGCTACAATGGATTCAAAGGAGAAATTAAAGAACCAAATATATACAGGCTATAGGGAGTGCTGAAATGAATTTACAAAGAAAGGCTAAACTATCCAATACCCATTGAACAGTGATCAATTGCATTCCACCAAACACATTTTGTTTGCATTTATACAAACAAGAATACTTTGCATTATTTTCAGCTTTCTACAACTTACAAAATAAAAAATATAGCTCAATAACGATGAAAGTTGCAATCCTAAACAAGTTTCAGGAACCCTGGAAAAATAATTAAAATATGATTTGTGTTTTATTGAAAAGATAACCAGTACATTCTGGCAACTTTAAATATTTTATATTTGTCTGAAACCACTCAACAGCTATTGACGAGCTCATGATCTATCCAATTGTGGTGCAGGTCTAGTCCTTAATAAGTTGATAGAATTTATGGTATTCGAGTTCTTCTTGTGACCTACTTCCAAAAATACATTGCAAAAAATACCTAACTATGGGATTTTTAGTTAATTCAGCCTAGCTAATTGAGGAGATAGAAATTATTACCATATTATGAAAGTCCCTGTGTCAGTTTTGCGTCCCCCAGAATAACTGATATATTTCTAAATTTATGTATTCATATTTCTCACACCATACAAGGTCTGTACCAACATCACTCTGACAGAGACTAGCTTTTTGTCTTTGATAATTACTAGGTTAAAAGGTCATACTCTATCATAAACCAGTCACAAAAACTATATAAATCTCTTGACTGTTTTTGATCAAATTAATTATGGTATTTTTAAAAAGTAAATATAAGACGATATTTGTTTACTCATGATTATAGATTTTTGCTAAGTTTACATAATGGGCTCTCAAAACAAAGGAAGTTTTGATAGAAGTGTGTCCACTTCTCTGCTGCAATTCCCCATATATTCAACCACTTCATGGTTGAATATATTTTTCCACCTTTATTTTTCCTCATGAATCATCTAAAATATTGATAATAGCTCATTTGAAATCCCTGTATGGTATTCACAACATATGGAGCAACAGTGGAGCTACTCCTATTGAATGTTTCTGCTCCTATGTATTATTTTTCCATATTTTAATTGCCTATGGGATAGTGTTGAACTATTCTGAATTCTTACATAAGATGCTGGTTTTTATTCCAGAAGGAAGTTAAAGTACTGGTAAATTATCTCATTCTTTGAAGTAATGGTTGTTGCCTTTAATGTAATAGGTTTACTTCAGTTATACTCCTTTGTCCTGGACTTATTGGAAAATTCTGGCACTGCTGAGTCAATGACGAGCCCAACGGTTTTTCCAAGCCCTTCTAACTTAACATAGTAGCAGCTAAACTACAAATATATCTAGCATCAAGCAGCTGCAGAAATCTTCATCTTCCATCTGCGCTTTCTTTTGGGGCCTTTGTACATCCTATGCATGTATAATGTAAGAGTCAGTGAAGATTTGAGGGTAAACTGTACATAGTTCCTGTGTTTTTTCCTGTGTTATGTTTCCTGTCTGGGATTTCTCCCTAACTTCCAGCTTCTCTGGCATCACAATGTCTACATTTTAAGTTCCATAAGACTTTCACTTTCTCATTAAGCCTTTCTCTCTCATGTGCCCCTTGCAAACTGGGAAGTGTCTTCAAAGAAAAACCATTCAATATCAAGACTCCTAGTTTCTTTCCTTTCAACCAAGTCTACTTGCCAGCATCTGCCTAGTTTCATTGTTCTCTAGGGCCTCAAATATTATTTTTTAAATTTCTAACTTCCAAGCTTTCATAATTGTTATGTTTCTAAAGGTTAACAGCTCAATAGAAGCAACTAGCCATTCTCAAGAATAATTTTTCATTTATTCTTGTAGCATATTTTTACTGAAAGTAGAATTGTACATTGACAGTCTTTTATTTTTAGTCTTTAAAAATGTCATTCTATTGCTTCTGTTATACTTTTGAGACTTTAGGTTGTCAGTTTTATTGTTGCTTCAACAAAGGTAAGTTTATTTTCCTAGTTATTTTAGATTCTTTACTGACTTTGAATCATCTTTGATCTGCTTATTTCTTTCTCTAAGTTCTCATGTTTAAAAAAGTTTTTTCTAATGTGCTGCAGATTGTATATTTTTAAAAATGTACACAGGCAACAGATGATGTATTTATTATCCAGAAGCAGAATACACTTCCCCCACTAGGTAAATAAAGTAGGAAGTTCATCATCTTCATCCCTCAGGGATTGAGTAGGAATGGAAATGGATTTCAGTTTTGATAAAGGAGTATGTGTGTTTGAGGAACATGACAGGTATCTGGGGACCATATTCCTCAACTGCATATTTGATTGTATGTAGTTTTATCAGTTTTAAAAAGACAGTAACCTTAACTGTGCTTAAGGCAATACTGTTGTTAAGGTCTCGCCAATGCACTACAGTGTAGCAGACTCTCCTTGTTTGAGGTATTACCTGGAGTTATTTTTCTCATGATCAGGAAACTTAAGGAGCGTGGACAGAAAGGGTGAAGCTGGAGCGAAAGTTGGTAAAGAACCAATTGGAGGCAGCGGTGAAGGCTTGACCTGGGACCAATTAGGGGCTGAAATAAAAGCTTAGCCCAGGACCTTGGCCCAGGATCAATCAGGGGCTGCAGTGACGATTCGCCTTGTTTAAATGAAGACTTAGCCCACGGACAATTACAGAAAGGTAGGCGTATGTCAAATGGTGAAAAGTAAGAGGCCAATAGATGAAAAGTAAGAGACTTAGGCATGTCAAGGAAAGAGAAATGTCTCCAAAGAGAGAGTGGAATTTTTTCTTCTAGGTTCACAGAGTAAGCATTTCCATTCAAGGACGTGGGCTCTTTCCTATCAGGGGCCAGCAGTTTGATTTTCAGGATGTTCTTTGAAGGAGTTTTACCAAGGATCCACCCTAACTGTGACGGGTTTCTTACTTTCTCCTCTAACATTGTCATAACTATTGAAATCAGCTCTTGTAATCTTGCGTAGCTCATATGTACGTACAATAATTTATTTGAAATCCCATATCAATAGATGTTTATCATGTTGCCATATTTTCTATAAATGATAATATTTTGATAAATTTCCTTGCCCATGAATATGCATTTCATTTTTGTAATGCTATCTTTACAGTAAAGTGGAATTTCTGAGAAAAGTGGTACATACTTAAAATCTAATAGTGAGAGTCTAGTAAACTTTTATAAATGTGCCTTCTTACTAGTACTAAATATTGTCAATTTTTAGTATTTGCCAATACCACATGAGAAGCTTAATATTTTGCTGTTATCTTTATGCCTTTGACTTAATGAAGATGAATATTTTTTCATGGTTTAATTGGAAAATTTGACTATTTCATTGTGAATGTTACTTGTAAGTTTTGCTTTATCTTCTACTAAGTTACTGTCTTTATTCTTATTGAATTAAAAGTTTTCAGTAAGACCACTAATTCTGCTTTGCATGTGTTTTTCCTCCTTATTTAAAATACACTATTCTATCCTGTAGACATATTTTAAACTTATATTCAGTCAAATTTAATTTATTTTTAATATTTAAGAATTTTAATAATATGTTTAATATGTTAGAAACCCTTTACCTTAGCCAACTTAATAGAAGTATTCACTTATGTTTACTTGTTTTTAAATTTAAGTTCTTGTTTATAAGGATGTTTTTCTTCAAATACTCATCTACATATTTCATCATCACTTATTAAACATTTTTATGTGTATTGTTCAATACTTTTTATCATATGCAACAAATTCTCATGTGGACTTTTTTCTCCTTCTTTCATCAAGTCCACTAATTTATGTTTATATCCACAGGAACTACTACATTTTCCAAAAATGTTAGGTTTGTGTTTTATTTTTATTTATGGTATATTGCTCCAAATTCTTCTTAAATTAAAAAATTCCAGGTGGTAAAATTATATAAGATTTTAAGATGAGTCAGAAAATACAGAATAATAAAATAGCATTTTGTTTTAAGTAATAAAATTCAATAATAAAATATGATAATGTAATGATACAATAAATTAATATATTTATATAATCACACTCAGCAGTTTTTCTTTGTAGGCTTTGTTGAATGTTCTTAGGTTTCATAGGCTCATATTTTTGCCATATTTAAAAAAATTTCTTTCTTTTACCTTGAACACAAGAAACATAATTATTTTAACATCTGTGGCTGATGTTTCTAATAACTAGATTACCTGTGGGTCTCTGTGTCTTTTTATTTTTCCTTTCTCATTTTCTCTCATTTCTCTCCTTTTTTGTGTGTACTGAGAATTATTTTAAAAGCTGCTTATAGAAACAAATACTTAATACATATAAGGCTTAAAACATAGATGACAGGTTGATAGGTGCAGCAAACCACCATGGCACATGTATACCTATGTAACTAACATGCGTATTCTGCACATTATACCAGAAGTTAAAGTAAAATTTAAAAAAAGAAAATGTATTTGATGCTCAAGATGGAGCTATCATCCTCCAGTGTGGATTTATATTTGCTTCCGCCAAAGTCTTTTAGCTTTCCAATCCCAAAGGAACTTTATTAAAGCCCACCCTCCTGCAGGTACTGGACCACAGCAGGAGTTCTCTCAGCTCTTTGAGGTTTTAAAAGTGGTGGTCAGACTCTCAGAACATCCTTCTGAAAATTAGCAAGTGTTCCCAGAGTAAAGTAGCCTCCCTAGGCCTCTGATATAGAGACACTGGCTCAGTTAATATTTATTACCTTGTGAACTCTGATACAGTCAAGCACATTTTATTTAATATTTTGTCCAAGGTTTCTAGTCATTACCAGTGAAAGAGTCACGTCCAAAATAGCTATTCTGCCAATATTAGTTGTAGAAATACTTCTACAATTAACTTTGGCTATGCAGGTGACAGAAGAGGGAGGTAATATTGCCAGATTTAGCAAATAAAAATACAGAACACTCAGTTAAATTTCACTTTCAAACAAAGAATGAATAATATTTTAGTATAAGTATGTCTGATGCAATATTTGAGATACATTTAAAATAATTTTGTGGCTTAGGTGCAATTAAATTTAACTGGCTATCTTGCATCTGATCTGGCAACCCTAAAGGGACATAATTGGGAGAGCTATAATAAGCATACAGAAGAGGGAATCAAAAATCAACTTTGATAATCAACTTTCTTTGAAGAAATGGAACATGATAAAATATAAATTTTTCTATTTTATTCCTAATTCTGCTATAGCTAGTTTGTTGACCCTGCAGGTTATTTAGCAAATGCTTTTCTTATGTCCTAAACCCTGCCTTATGTAGCTGACAGTTTTCAATGTGTACCATTCAAAAGAACATAGTTAAAAGATGAAATTATTATGGAAGAATACACAAGAGAAATGAAATCATAGAAACATAAGTAATTCACTCCTTAATTCTCACTGCTTGAGCCCAATCAATTATCATGTCCTATAGATACATCTTAGTCTCTTATTTTTTTCATCTCTTTCCATTGCTACTGATTTAATTGAGGGCCTCATTTTTTTCTCTTGTACCATAATGCAATGTTCTCTTTTCTGCTACTATTTTCTTATTTTTCCCTTTTTCCCAATACATCACCTGCACTGCCACCAGGATAAACTCTTGCATGCAAGCATTATTCCACCACTTATCTCATCAATGGTCTTCATAGCTTTCCTCCAAAAAAAAAAAGGTAAGAAAAAAAATCCAAACTCATTGTAATATCCTAAAAAACTCATTAATATTAGGCTCACACCTATAATCCCAGCACTTTGGAAGGCCGAGGCAGGCAGATCATAAGGTCAGGAGTTCAAGACCAGCCTGGCCAACATAGTGAATCCCCATCTCTACTAAAGATATAAAAAATTAGCCAGGCGTGGTGGCATCCACCTGTAATCCCAGCTACTCGGGAGGCTGAAGCAGGAGAATCACTTGAACCTAGGAGGCGGAGGTTGCAGTGAGCCGAGATCACGCCATTATACTCCAGCCTGGGTGACAGTGCGAGACTCTGTCTCAAAAAAAAAAAAAAAAAAAAAAAAAATTGTAGGTCTCTACTCACCTCTACAGCCCCTTTTCACAATACACAATCACCATGAATTCACAGTTTTCAGAATGCATCTGTCTTTCTCATGTTGCTTTGACTTTAGTGATAAAACTTCTTCCTTCTGGAACGCCCCTTTTATCCTAACATTACACTAGTTGAATTGTGTACTCCCAAAATTCATATGTTGAAATCCTGAACAACAGTACCTCAGAATATGACTGTATTTGGAGATAGGGTATTTAAAGAGCAATTAAGTTAAAATGAAGTCATTAAGATTAGCCCTAATACAAAATGACTGGTGTCCTTATAAGACTATGCTATTAGAACACATATCTTTACAGAGGGAAGATCACGTAAAGACACAAGAAGATACCAGTGATCTACAAAACAAAGAAACAGATTGCTGAAGAAATCCACTCTCTGAACACCTTGCTCTCAGACCTATAGACTCCAGAGTGATGAGAAAATACATGACTGTTGCGTAAGCCACCAGTCCATGGTATTTTGATATGGCAGCCAGAACAAGCTCTTCACATTTGATTGTGAGTTCCACAGATTCTGACTTCCAGTATATATAAATATGTTTTACTTTTATATTGAAAATTATTGAGACACCCAAGCAGACCTAGGTGTTTCTTCTATAATCTGTAGAGTTTTAAACACATTTGTTTTATACAAAATTACCTGTGTTGGTGCATTCATCTGCTCTCTTTAAATTAGTCTCCTGTTATATCTCTATTTACTTTCCTCTAAGGTTGTAAATTATTTTTGGCTGGAATCATTGCATAGAATTAGAAACACATCAGCCTGAGTTTGACTGACAAATTGTGACACATTGGGGGTGTGCCTTTAATCTCTCTAAGCCTTAGTTTTATTATTAACAAACAGGTAGAAAGTAATACCCATCTCATAGATTTTTGTGTGGGTGAGGCTGGTGCCTAGATAAAGTATCAAATGCTATCATATTTCTACTTCCTTTTGGTTAATTGTTGTTATACAACTACCATCATGCTTGGGTGAGAATATTTCACCTACAGTACTCCCCTTTTAGAACCTCTAGATTTTCCTTGGACATGTAAATATATTGAAACTGTATTTATATATCTCAACCTCTTGCATTAGACTAGAAGTTAGGTCAGTAACTATTCCTCACTCATGTTTTTATTCCAGAGTGTCAGACATATAGTAGGAATAACATATGTTAAATTGCAGAATATTTTCAACATACTATATAATGTATTCATGATAATATCCCTCTAAATTTGATAGTGAGGGATTATCCTGTTTTTCAAAGTTGAAAAATTTGAAAATATTTGAAATGTCATTTAATATGACCTACTTCAAAACCTCACAGTGATGGGCTCTTCTTCCATCATTTTTTTCTTTCCTTCCTTCCTTCTATTCCCCATGACAGCAAAGACTTTCATTTATGTGGTTTGGACTCAAATTAGGAATGATAGAATTGAGCATCCTAAAATACAGTACAGAAAATTACACAGTGCTGTTATGCACATTATCCTCCAATAGGAACTGTAAATACCAATGCCCATAAATAAATGTTACAAATGTAGCAATTGCAGTGTGTGATGAGTGATTTTTGTTTGCTCTTCTGCAAAATTGGCAAGAGAAGAAACTTAAAAAAAAACAGCTACTGCTTTGCTCATGACAGATTCTCCCATGTACTTTTTTAAAAGCCCAGTTGTTATAAGGCCACTTGGTATTCATGTCCATGTCAAGTAATGGCATTCTTGTTTTGAAAGATCTTTGACATAGCCTTTTGGAATGTGGAAGAAACTTATTAGAAATTTGCCTTGAAAACCAGACCGAAGAAGACTTCAGGTATGAGACACGTGTCTCCCAGATCTGCATTTTAGCTATAGTGAAAAATAAATCAATCAATTTAAATATTTCTAAGAACTATAGACTCTATATAAATGTTCTATATTTTTAAAATTAAAAATGAAAACTGACATTGGTAAACACGCATAATTTCTGACTTTTTATTAAAGTAAAATGTACCTGTAGAAAAATGCCCAGGTGGGTAACTTTAAATTTTCATAAACATGAACATACTTCTGTAACTACCACCCAAATAAGGAGACAAAATATCCAAAACCCCAAAAGCCCTCTTCATATTTCCTTCCAATCACCATGCCCCAGCCCCATTAAAGGTAACCACTGCTTCAATTTCTAAAAACATTAATTCATTTACCCTGGCTTTGTAGTTTGCAGTAATGACATTGTAGGTGAAGAAAAATATTACATTTACCTTCTTAGGACTTTCCACTGGGCCTGAGAATTAAACTGATATGAAACATAGCAACAGCGTAAAATCACGCAAATTTATTTAATATAAATTTTATGTGATACAGGAGCCCTCCTAAGCAAATAAAGACACAAAGAAGCAATTAGAGTCAAATGCTGTTATAGTATATCCACATTTTACAGTTTTACACTATAAAGTGTAATGAATTGTAAAAGCTTGAAAAGGCAAAGATGCAGAGGCCAGGGTAGTCAGTTAAGTAAAGTTAGGATAGCTAATTGAGCTACTAGGGAGATAAAAATTAGTTTAACAGGATTTGTTTGCAGAAACTTCTCTAGGTTTTCACTTCCTATTCTTGACAATGAGAATATTACTTTCTTCCTGGTATAGGGAGACTATCTTTGACATAGCGGGGGTTATATCTCCTGCTTTCACTAAATGTTGTTTCTGAGATTCATTTATTTTATTGTGTCGTAAATCATTCATTCATATTTTTGCATAGCATTTTCTTGTGTGAACAGTTATTCAACCAATGATGGGCACTAAGGTAGTTTCTGGGTTTGATCCACTATGAAGAGTGCTGATATAATCATCCTAGAACATATCTTCTAGTGAACTTGCATGCAGTGCAATTTACATGCCATGTGACATGCATATAATCAGTTTTAGAAGATGTTCCCAAAACATTTCCAGAATAGATGTACTAAACTATGCTCTTACTAGTAGGCTAAGAGATTTCTGATTGTTCCATCGAATTGTAATTTCTCATATCTATCAACTTTGAGCACTTATAATAGTTACTGTTCAGTGAGTAAGCAATTTGCATAGATTATCAATTATCCTTATAACAATCTTACAAAGTAGAATGAAACTTTCACTCTGCAGGAGAAGAAATTTATGTCAAAAAGGGTAATATATTTTTCAAGGTCAAATAGCCAATAATATCAGTTCAGGGACTTTAATTGTGGTCTTCCTGACCATATTGCTTTATAATCCGAATATTATCGTAATCCTATTAGTACATTAAATTAGAATTTAACAAGATAATATCTGTGGCAGCCTGCTGTACAGCTTACAATTCAACAGCCATTGTTTCTTCAAGTTTTATAGTTTCCTACATCTTTTATATACTATATGCACAGAAGCTTTGTGAGGAAGTTTTATTCTCTCCATTTTACAAATGGGGAAAATGAGATTCACAAGAGATAAGCAACATTCATGAATTTATATTGAATTAAATGTTTAGGTCAGAGTACACGAATTGAAGAATATGAGTAATTTGAGGACAGGGACTCTTTTTTTTTCACCACTGCATCCTGAGTCCCTGTAAGAGATCTGGCACATAGGAAGCCCTCAATAAATGCCTGATGAATAATTGAATAACTGAATAAAAATAGCCAAGAAAAGGATTATATGAATAGAAGTAAGTATGTAGACAGGTCTCTCAACCTTAGTTGTCTGCCTCCAATCCTTCATGATAAGGAAATATTCTTTCTTGAGAAACTGTTATTATTTTTTAACTGAGTTTTAATTTAAATAGAATTGCCTATAAAACCAAAAGAATCTGTTGCTTTCCTTCTGTTAGAAATGTGGACTGTGAAGTTAGAGATTTATTTGAATCTAACATAACAAGCTAGTCATCCATCAAGTTTGTTCTCTTATCCACCCATTTAACAATTATCTTCTAAGTGCCTTCCAGGGACTAAAGAAAATAACATGTGCTGGGGATAATTGATGCAAGAGGAAACATGATTTATCTTTACAAACATTATAGTTAAAGCTACATATACTGCTTGGGACTCAGTTTCCTAATTTATAAAATGAAATAGGTTTAATATTTTCTCAGAGTATTTTCATGATTAAATGACAGGGCATCTGAGATGAAACATAGACAAGTAGCTACTTACAATGGCCAATATTGTGAATCTTCTTTAATTATCTATAACATAGTGAACACCAATATATGAAACCATGAAAAATAGTCGTTTTGTTTGGGCATAGCATTACATTTCCATTTCGTTTTGTGACCCTAGCATATTGAGAAATAAATAGGCATTGATTTCCTCTATCACTGACTTATTAATGTAAACAATTATTTTTTTTTTACCAAATAAAAACCCAAAGTCCTGTTTGTTTGTTTGTTTGTTTTTGGCTTTACTAATCACTTGTTTATTTATTTACTTTACAAAAGGGAATGGCAAGAAACAAAGCCAACCAAAACAAACAAACGAACACTTTAGACAGATTAGCTTTAAAAGAGCTTAACTGAGCAAAGAATGATTCATAAGTCAGCCAGCGTCCTGAACCAGTAGAAGTTCAAAGAGCTCTACCCAGCAGTGCAAGCAGCAAGCTTATATAGGCCAGACACAGAGGCAAAGTAGAAAAATTACTTGATTGGCTATAGCTAGGCATCTGCCTTTTTTGGACATGGTGTGATGAATTGACTGCCTGTGAAAGACTGAAACCCAGCTACTTGTGATTGGCTAAAACCCCATTGTTTGTTTCAAGGACATACTCTTAGGCTTTCAGTTTGTTTACATAGTAAGTTAGGTTGCAATTCACTACACAGGGACTCAAAGTATGCAGCCTGCCTCAGGCCAAATTTAATTTAACAAGAAGTTGGTCATCTGTGGAATAAAATGTAACTTTCTAACACCATATGGGTACAAATACATCATATTTGCATGAAAACCACCTAAAATTACTATTTAGTAAGGCCCCACCTTCTTCGCTTTTCAGGTAGTCCCACTTTACTTTCTTTAGGAGTCCCTGCTGGGTGATCTTTCTTTCATATAAGAAGAAACTTACCAAACCTAGAGTTTTCTCAAGGAGAATTTTAGGACCACTAGATAAATCACTTTTTCCCCCACGTGCAAAGTAAATGCTGATTGTCTCCTCAGGGAGCACAAGTGTTCAGGGTAGTGAACAGTAGCAGAGGGGCTGAGGCATGGTTCTGTACAGCCTCATGTAGGAAGCCCTGCTCCCCTCTGCTGACCTGCTGAGTCATGGAATGTCTACCTTGCCTTGGAAGTCTTACCACTTAGAAGCTAGTCTGCTAGGAGAACACTCATGATTTTTAGGGCAGAGTGGAGCCACTTTCCACTAGCCAAGGATCTGTGGCAATACTAGCTTCAATATGATTAAATAATGCCCAATTTATTTATTCATTAGTCATTTAGGGAGGTGGTTGTTTGTGCCAGCCTTTGTACTAAACCTTGGCATTGAAATGAAAAATACAGCATACTTCATATCTCTGAGACTACAAAATACTGTACCTATTGGTGATGCTACCGAGATATATCTATGTACTTTTATTGACAGGTTGTGAAAGGCCATCTTATCTTAATTTTGCATTTCTTAACCTCACAAAGGCAGTAATCAGAACATTCTCTTTCTGAAAGAAAACGTTTTAAGATCTGTTCATTGTTCCCTTAACTGATTTCTTGTCCATCTTTAAATCTCATTTAAATGATTTTCCTTTAGTTTAAAACCTCTAATTGGTACAACTCTCTTAAATTTGCTATTGTGTTTCTTAAAGTTTTCTTTACAACATGGAATGCTTGTCGAATCACAATGAAATTACTAAGTAATTTCTCATTAAGGTTTTATTTCTCTTGACACTTTTTTCAGGTGAGCTGTCATCACCATTGTCAGCAATAAAAAAAATCAGAAGTTTAGCTAACAATGCTGCCCCACTGAGTTTTGCTTGCTTACTTGCTTGCTTTCTTCCCATTTGTGTTAATTTTTCCCCAATACATTTTTGATAACAGGAATAAGGGTATGCAAGCCACATTCTATGCATTAAAACATATTGTCTTTTTGTATGAAAAAGCATTTTCCTGATTTTTTTGTAAAAATACAAGTTGTTAAGTGTTTTAAAGTTTAATATGAATATGTAATAATAAAATCCTACCTTTGTGGTCATTTATCTTTTTCAAAGCCAATATAAAAATTTTATTTCATCTACAGTTTCTAACATGTCCACAACGTAATAACTTACACATAAGTAGACAGAAAATAAGGGGCTTACAAAATTTAAGTATGATTTCTGAAAATACAGTAAAAACCAGTTTTGAAATTTCTTCTTCTGATTCCACACTAGGTATAATTTAAATTAGACTATAAGATAGGGGAGTGTAAAGGATTTTTTTAAACTTGTTCCTTTTTGTAAAAGCAATTTTAAACTAATATTTGCCTACCTCTTAGCTCAACAGCCATGATATAGAAATGTTTTTATTTCTGTTTGTCTAACCTATTTCCCCAATAATTCTAAAAGTGGACCCTTCTTCCAGTTTACTAAACATTGGGAAATGTTCAGTACATAAATTTTATCATAGGCATAAGAAATATTATCTCCAGAAAAAATTCTGATATAAAACTCCAGACATTTGAAAAAAGGAATTAATGTTTCACTAATGGTTTTGGTATCAATAATAATAAAAGTTTTGCTAATAGGACACATGGGCAATTAGCACTTAGATGTGGCTTATAAAATATTAATGCTGTCAGGCATGCATTAAAATATTTTTGTTAATAATAGGGGCTGTGCTTTGTAGGATTTCACATGTGAAATAAACCAAAGACTCAAAGAGCTTAACTCAACTATTCAATGCCATGCAACCTGGAATTAAATTGAAATGTTCTAACTGGCTGCAAGTTCAGTAATGCTTTTCAGCAATACTGTTGCCCTTAGAAGAGAGTTAAAACATAATTTAGTCTACCAAGAAAAGTAAAAACAAAAACAACTGCTTTTCCACTTTTGTTAAGAGAAATGAAATGATACTCATTATTATCATTTAGAACTTTTTATATTCCTTAATATTTTAAGCATTTGTATTAAATATCTGGCTTGGCCCTTTTAGTGGCTAAGGTACAGCAGCACAAAATCTATATTAAATCTCCTGAAATCTACTCAGGTTTTGGAATCACTGGATTCAGCACAATGATAACCTCAGCAGCTGAATAGCAAGGGTCTCAACCCCAGTTTATAAAAAACAAAACAAAACACTGAGCTACTTATTTAGTTTAGCAGTTTGGAATATTCAATGCTGTTGCATAAGAAATGGGTAAGCATTTCAAACTTAATACTTAAAATTCTTAATATATGATTTCAGTGATAATTGATGTGTATGGCACTAACTTTGGAATTCCAAAAAATGTACAATTTAGACTGATTTTCTAGATTGATGAATATAAAAAAATATGATGAATATAAAAATATGAAAAATACAAAAATTATGTAATCATTTTAAATAATATTTTTCCACTTGTAATAATTAAAATTTAAATGATAATTTTAAAATTTCTTCTCAAATATATATATACTTTTTTTCTTAAGAATACATGCAATTTGGGGGAATATATGAGAAGAAAAAGTTATGATACATATGTGGGAATACATTCTTACTTGAGAAGAAACTGACTTCCAGCTAAACTAGTTAATGATGAAATTGGAAGGCTTGAGAAAATTTGTGTCTATGGGCATGGCATTTTCATTCACCATAAATGGCATACTCCCCTTTGATAAAGAATCTCTTGACAATTTTATTGAAATAAAATCAGTAAGTACCTAAACTGAGATTAATCAGAATTAAGATTGTCTCATGAACTCTATTTAGTTGTTTATGATAGAAGTCACTTGAAACAAATTATTTTTAAAAGTACATAATAAAATGAATAGAAAATTACCTCAAATTTATTAACAGTCATATGATTTTCATCATCCATTTCAAGTAGAAGTAAGTGGCAAAGACTATAATTGAAATACAGAAAAAATGTAAACTTTCCTATTCAGTTTTAGTTTTGGCCAGAACGTCTGAACTTGTAGCCAAGAAGTCTTCAAGTGAACTTGGGAAGAATCTGACTTCTAGCTAAACTAGCTCATGATTGAAATTGGAATGCTTGAGAAAATTCAAGGGATCTGGCAGTGATTTCCTTTAAATTTTGGAAATCATTTGGATCATAGCCACCAAGCTCAAAGAAAGTTTAGCCATCCAATTTGTGCACTGGGCTCATTTTGTGGTTTTGTGTGAGAATTCATTTTACCTTCCAGAAATAACATTTGAATTTTATTTCTGATTTTTTTCTTTTGTCATTTGTGTTGCTCTGCCTTTGATCAGAGCCTTTCTGTGTGGGATATCAGATAATGTAACTTTAGCTACTAGCATCATGATTAGAAATTTTGAGGTCCCTTGAGTACAGTAATAATAGCTAACTTGGTTCCAAGCTCTTTGGCAAGAGGATGTCCTGAAGGCATATGTTATAGTGAGAGAAGTTACTAATTCTGCCATTTTTTCTCTCTTCTCCACAATTTCCTGGCAAAGGAAAAGCTTTGCCAGTTTTCCCTCACAAAAGAGAAATAGAAAATAATCTATTACAAACAAAAAGGAAGAGAGAGAATCTATTACACAGAAATTTTCTCTCTGTGTAGTCCTACAAAGTGTAGCAAAACATATATATACATAATCTATTATGCTTATAGAGAAAAGTTTCACTAAGTGAGTAGTAGAAAATAAAGATAAAAAATAGACAAGGTAGCAAGGGCTGCTAAACAAAACCAACATCTAAGCCAACCCTATGAAAAAATTAGCTCTCCCTCTCAATCAGTAAACTGGTTATTTGACAGAAGCTCCAAGGCATCTCCAAACAAAATCATTAAATGCAAAAAATCCTAGTGAGATCAAGGCACTGTTTTCAAACGAATGCAATAATGTCGGCCCAGAGGCCTTAATGAAATTAGACAAAAAAGAATAAATCTGTGATATAGTCAATGTATGATTTCAATGATAATTGATGGGTATGATGCTAAGTCGGATCATGTGACTTGGATCATGGTTCAAAAATACTCTACCAATGCTCATTTTAATGTCCATGATTGTTGGGGAATGGACACTGCTAAGAGTTGCATCCATGGGGAAACTTCATAATCTCAAGAGGATCACTCTAGTCTTACCATTTTTTTTTTTTATTTCTGTAGCTCTCAGTTACTTAGGCATTTTTTTCTTCTTTATTCTCTGTGACCAGTGTATCCTTGTGCCCATCTTTGCCCTCTCACTCTTAGGTGCATTGAGATGACTGATATGCTTCCACTGTCTTCTCAGGTTTCTTACTTTCCCCCAAAATAATCACAATGGCAGTCTTCTTATTTTTCTTACTTTTAAAAAAATACATGAGTCTTCCAGAAGAATAATGAAAAACAAAGCATGGTTTTTGAATTTTCACAAAATTTCCCAGAAAATGAAATAAACCAATCGGGAAAGGGAAAAAAAGAAACACACAACATGAAGATGGTATCCTCAATAAAACTTGTAAGGAAGAAATCCTGATGAACTTCTGAACATGGGCCACGTGGTCATCCTGAGATCAAGGGCCGTGTATTGGGGAATGAGGGAAAAGTGGAAGAAAGTTCTAGACGAATTCTATAAACTAAAATAATGCCAACAGATACATCCCTAAATAAAGGACTCCATTATGCATACAAACCTGGGTGAGGGACTTAAAAATCAATCAGTAAGACTAAGAAAATCTACAGATTTTAAGTTTCTGGTGAGTACAAAAGAACTACATGCATGGATATAGAAGAATATATAGAATAATATACAAAATTGTGTTGGTTTAAGTTCTTATGACTCTCAGAACTGTTCATCAGATGCTATTTTGAAATGACAGAGACTACTCATGATGAAATATACTGAAATTAGAAACCAAATTGAGCATAGCAAGAAGGGTGGGGTCAAGAGAAACAGAAGATTCAGATAGCTGCGTGGGAGAACAGATCACAAAATTCTTGTTAACAAGAAAATTCAAAACCTCAAATAAGAGGGAAAAATCTAAATAGAGCAATTTAAAGGGACAATTAAAGAAATGTGTGAATGAACTTTCTATCCACATAAAAAAACAAACAAACTGAAAAATTATGTCCTCACCAGACATGGTGGCTCATGCCTGTAATCCAAGCTCTCTGTGGGATCAAGATGAGAGGATTACTTGAGGCCAGGAGTTCAAGACCAGCCTGGACTATTAATATATCAAAACCCTGTCTCTACAAATAATAATGATGATAATAATATCCTGGCCAAGACTTTTTTCACAGAAGGATTCTTTCAGGTGTTCCAAAATCACCTAGTCACAGTGATTCTAAAACTTACACAGCATGAAAAGGAGAAACTTTCAAAATTCCTTTTATAAAATGACTACATCATTATGAAACCTAATAAACACTGAAATAAAGATGTTATAAATATCAATAAAAATGTTTAATGTGAATTTGCAGATAGAATATATAACAGTGAATAAATAAATACATTGTCAACCAGTGGGGTTCCTTTCAAGAATGCAAGTATGATTCAAGAAGAACATCCATTAATATAATTCATTCTCTAAATACATCTATGAAGAAAAGCATCATAGATGCTGAAAAGGCATTTTGCAAAAATCAAAACCCATTCCTACTAATAAAACAAGAATAAATAGAAATTTATATAATAGGTTTAAAAGTAAATATTAGTCCAAAAATCAGATTTTACTTACTGGATACACATTGGAAGCATTTCTCCTAAGGTTAGGAGAAAGAAAGAGAAACCCACTGTTACTTCTACAATTGAGCATATTTTCAATGTAACTAGGTAAGAGAGAGCAACAATATGTTCAAAAAGTAGAAAGAAAAAGACAAAACTACATTTGCTGATGTTATGATTATATATTTGAAATGTCCAAGAGGATCTAATAAAAAGCTACTGCAAATAGCAGAATCTAGTAAATTAATGCTTTAATAGACTGCATATGTACTAAACTAAAACTAAGCTTGTTTCATTTTTTTAAAAAGTTACAAGGTAAAATGTGTAATTCTTATTTATAAAATAATTAAAAACTTCATATAAATTTCCTAAATATTGTATGAAGAAATCTTTAAGACATTTTAAAGATGCAAAACAGAATTGAACAAATAAAAAAGTATTTCACATTTTTAATAGAAAAGTTCAATGTGAAAAATATGTCAATTCCACTTAAGTTGATATGTAAATATAATGTGATTTTTATCAAATAATCAATTATTTTTTTCCTGCAAGTAGACACATTATTAATTCTTATAGGAAAATAAATAAGATTCAAGAACCAGGAATTAATGAACAGTGAAATTCCAATAAAAATACCCCAAAGCAATGTTACAATATATTATAATTTTATATATTTAAAGCACTGTGGCATCAGTGACTAAACAAAGCAATACAAAAGAACATGAAGAGATATGTGCGTGCATAAAAATTTAGTAATAAATATAGCAACTCAAATCAGGTGATGAATGGTATTTTTAATAAGGAATTGTTAGATCCTTAAAAATTCATTTGGAAAATGTATATAATTCAATCTAAACTTTACATCACATTGTGGGATACAGATCAGAGATGTAAATGTAGACACTGAAATAATATATGTGCTAGAAAAATACATGTAAATTCCATTATAATCCAGAAATGATGGGAAGCATCCTAAATATTATGTAAAATATAAAATACAAAATCAATACAAGTAAAAATAAGTAAATTTGAATAAAACTTTACGATGTGGAAGGATATTTTTATCATAAACAAAATTAAAAAGGCAAAAGAGCCAAAAGAGGAGATTTGCAATTTATACACAAAGATAAACCTTAATACTGTTCTTCAATATCTAGAAGACAAAATTAGTGAAAGTCAGCTAAATATGTAAAAAATGCAAAAGAAGAAAATAAAAACTCTTAAACTTATGAGACAATGCTCAACCTCAAAAATAAAATACATTTAAATTACAGGTAAATTTAAGTAAGTTACTCATCAAAAATCCAAGTATTTAAAAGTGGCAAAATTGCAGATTACACATACTCATTTTCTCTTGCCAAAAGTAGATGCTGATTATTAGTTTTCTATGGCTGCTGTAACAAATGTTCACAAACTGGGTGGTTTAAGACAACTGAAATTATCAGCACAGCTCTGGTGGGTAGAAGTGCAAAATCCAGATGTCAGCAGAGTTGGCTTCTGAAGTTCTGAGGGAGAATATGGCCCATGCTTCTCTCCTAGCTTCTGCCAGTTGCCAAGAATACCTGTCATTTTGTGGCAGGCAATCTCCCTGCCAATCACATGGACAGGACTGCATAGCACCCCAGTTACACAAATTTCCACAGCACTGCCTTAACATTTAGCAAATAGTTAAAGCTAGGGAAATTGGTGCCCAGACATCAAAGCTAGAAATGAAACAAATGGCCAGTAGGAGCCTTGCATGTGCCATGATGTACACATGCCATGGTGGTTTGCTGCACCCATCAAACCATCATCTATATTAGGTATTTCTCCTAATACTATCGCTCCCCTAGCCCCTCATCCCCCGATAGGCCCTGGTGTGTGATGTTCCCCTCCCTGTGTACATGTGTTCACATTGTTCAACTCCCACTTACGAGTGAGAACATGCAGTGTTTGGTTTTCTGTTCCTGTGTTAGTTTGCTGAAAATGATAGTCCCCAGCTTCATCCATGTCCCTGCAAAGGACATGAACTCATCCCTTTTTATGGCTGCATAGTATTCCATGGTGTATATGTACCACATTTTCTTTATCCAGTTTATCATTGATGAGCATTTGGGTTGGTTCCAAGTCTTTGCAATTGTGAATAGTGCTGCAAAAAAAAAATACGTGTGCATATGTCTTTATTGTAGAATGATTTATAATCCTTTAAGTATATACCCAGTAATGGGACTGCAGGGTCAAATGGTATTTCTGGTTCTAGATCCTTTAGAAATCGCCACACTGTCTTCCACTACGGTTGAACTAATTTACACTCACATCAACAGCATAAAGGTGTTCCTATTTCTCCACATCCTTGACAGCATCTGTTGTTTCCTTACTTTTTAATGATCACCATTCTAACTAGCATGAGATGGTGTCTGGTTATGGTTTTGATTATGGTTTTGATTTGCATTTCTCTAACGACTATTATGGTTTTGATTTGGATTTCTCTAATGACCAGTGATGATGAGCATTTTTTCATATATTTCTTGGCCACATAAATGTCTTCTATTAAGAAGTGTCTGTTCACGTACTTTGCCCACTTTTTGATAGAGTTGTTTGTTTTTTTCTTATAAATTTGTTTAAGTTCCTTATAGATTCTGGATATTAGCCCTTTGTCAGATGGATAGATTGCAAAAATTTCCCCCCTTCTGTAGGCTGCCAGTTCACTCTGATGATAGTTTCTTTTGCTATGCATAAGCTCTTTAGTTTAATTAGATCCAATTTGTCAATTTCGGCTTTTGTTGTCATTGCTTTTTTTGTTATAGTCATGAAGTCTTTGCCCATGCCTATGTCCTGAATGGTATTGCCTAGGTTCCCTTCTAGGGTTTTTATGGTTTTAGGTTTTATGTTTAATTCTTGAATCCATCTTGAGTTAATTTTTGTATAAGGTGTAAGGAAGGGGACAGGTTTCTGTTTGCTGCATATGGCTACCCAGTGTTCTCAGCACCATTTATTAAATAGGGAATCATTTCTGCATTGCTTGTTTTTGTCAGGTTTGTTGAAGATCAGATGGTTGTAGATGTGTGGTGTTATTTCTGAGGCCTCTGTTTTATTCCATTGGTCTATATATCTGTTTTGGTACCAGTACCATGCTGTTTTGGTTACTGTAGCCTTGTAAATATATTTTGAAGTCAGGTAGCATGATGCCTCCAGCCTTGTTCTTTTTGCTTAGGATTGTCTTGTCTATACGGGGTCTTTTTTGGTTCTATATGAAATTTAAAGTAGTTTTTTTTCTAATTCTATGAAGAAAGTCAATGGTAGCTTGTTGGGGATAGCATTGAATCTATACATTACTTTGGGCACTATGGCCATTTTCACAATATTGATTCTTCCTATGCATGAGCATGGAACGTTTTTCCATTTGTTTTTGTCCTCTCTTATTTCCTTTAGCAATGGTTTCTAGTTCTCCTTGAAGAGGTCCTTCACATCCCTTGTAAGTTTTATTCCTAGGTATTTTATTTTCTTTGTATCGATTATGATGGGAGTTCACTCATGATTTCGCTCTCTGCTTGTCTATTATCTGTGTAGAGGAAAGCTTGTGATTTTGCACAGTGATTTTGTATCCTGAGACTTTGCTGAAGTTGCTTATCAGCTTAAGATGATTTGGGGCTGAGACGATGGGGTTTTCGAAATATACAACTATGTCATCTGCAAACAGAGACAATTTGACTTCCTTTCCTCCTATTTGAATTCTCTTTATTTCTTTCTCTTGCCTGATTGCCCTGGCCAGAACTTCCAATACTATGTTGAATAGGGGTGGTGAGAAAGGACATCCTTGTCTTGAGCCGGTTTTCAAAAAGAATGCTTCCAGCTTTTGCCCATTCAGTCTGACATTAGCTGTGAGTTTTTCATAAATATCTCTTATTATTTTGAGATGTTTCATCAATACGTAGTTTATTGAGAGTTTTTAGCATGAAGGGATATTGAATTCTATTGAAGGCCTTTTGTGCGTCTATTGAGATAATCATGTGGTTTTTGTCATTGGTTCTCTTTATGTGATTGATTATGCTTATTGATTTACATATTTTGAAGAAGCCTTGCATCCAATGAATGAAGCCAACTTGATCATGGGGGATTAGCTTTTTGATGTCCTGCTGGATTCAGTTTGCCAGTATTTTATTGAGGATTTTCGCTTTCAATGTTCATTAGGGATATTGGCCTGAAATTTTCTTTTTTTTGTTGTTGTGTCTCTGCCAGCTTTAGGTAGCAGGATGATGCTGGCCTCCTCAAATGAGTTAGGGAGGAGTCCCTCTTTTTGTATGGTTGGGAATAGTTTCAGAAGGAATGGTAGCAGCTCCTCTTTGTACCACTGGTAGAATTCAGCTGTGCATCCATCTGGTCCCAAGCTTTTTTAGGTTGATAATCTATTAATTACTGCCTCAATTTCAGAACTTGTTATTGGTCTATTCAGGGATTCAACTTCTTCCTATTTTAGTCTTGGGAGGGTGGATGTGTCCAGGAATTTATCCATTTCTTCTAGATTTTCTAATTTATTAGCATAGAGGTGTTTACAGTATTCTCTGATGGTAGTTTGTATTTCTGTGGGATCAGTGGTGATCTCCCCTTTATCATTTTTTATTGTGGTTATTTGATTCTTCTCTCTTTTCTTCTTTATTAGTCTGGTTAGTGGTCTATCTATTTTGTTAATCTTTTCAGAAAAGCAGCTCCTGGATTCATTGATTTTTTTAAAGGGGTTTACATTTCTCTATCTCCTTCAGCTCTTCTCTGAATTTAGTTATGTCTTGTTTTCTGCTAGCTTTTGAATTTTTTTGCTCTTGCTTCTCTAGTTCTTTTAATTGTGATGTTAGGGTGCCGATTTTAGATCTTTCCTGCTTTCTCCAGTGGGCATTTAGTGCTATAAATTTCCCTCTAAATACTGCTTTAGCTGTGTCCCAGAGATTCTGGTATGTTGTGTCTTTGTTCTCATTGGTTTCAAATAACTTATTTATTTCTGCCTTAATTTCGTTATTTACCCTGTAGTCATTCAAGAGCAGGTTGTTCAGTTGCCATGTTGTTGTGTGAGTTTTAGTGAGTTTCTTAATCCTGAGTTCTAACTTGATTGCACTGTGGTCTGAGAGACTGTTTGTTATGATTTCCATTCTTTTGCATTTGCTGAGGAGTGTTTTACTTCCAATTATGTGGTTAATTCTAGAATAAGTGCTATGTGGTGCTGAGAAGAATGTATATTCTGTTGATTTGGAATGGAAAGTTCTGTACATGTTTATTAGGTCCACATGGTCCAGAGGTGAGTTCAAGTCCTAAATATCCATGTGAATTTTCTGCCTTGTTGATCTGTCTAATAATGACAGTAAGGTGTTAAAGTCTCCTACTATTATTGTGTGGGAGTCTAAGTCTCTTTGTAGGTCTCTAATAACTTGTTTTATGAATCTGGGCGCTCCTGTATTGGGTGCATATATACTTAGAATAGTTAGCTCTTCTTGTTGCATTGACCCCTTTACCATTATGTAATGCCCTTCTTTGTCTTTTTTAATCTTTGTTGGTTTAAAGTCTGTTTCATCAGAGAGTAGGATTGCAACCCCTACTTTTGCTTGGTAAATATTCCTCCATCCCTTTATTTTGAGCCTATATGTGTGTCTTTGCATGTGAGATGGGTCTTCTGAATACAGCACACCAATAGGTCTTGACTCTTTCCAATTTGCCAGTTGGTGTCTTTTAATTGGGGCATTTAGCCCATTTACCTTTAAGGTTAATATTGTTATGTGTGAATGTGATCCTGTCATTATGATGCTAGCTGGTTATTTTGCCCGTTAGTTGATGCAGTTGCTTCATAGTGTTCATGGTCTTTACAATTTATTATGTTTTTGCAGTGGGTGGAACCGGTTTTTCCTTTCCATATTTAGTGGTTCCTTCAGGAGCTCTTGTAAGGTAGGCCTGGTGGTGACAAAATCTCTCAGCATTTGCTTATCTGTAAAGGATTTTATTTCTCTTTCACTTATGAAGCTTAGTTTAGCTGGATATGAAATTCTGGGTTGAAAATTCTTTTCTTTAAGAATGTTGAATATTGGCCCCCACTCTATTCTGACTTGTAAGGTTTCTGCAGAGAGATCCACTGTTAGTCTTATGGGCTTCCCTTTATTGGTAACCCAACCTTTCTCTCTGGCTGCCCTTAACATTTTTTCCTTCATCTCTACCTTGGGGAGTCTGACAATTATGTGTCTTGGTTTTGCTCTTCTCAATGAGTATCTTTGTGGTATTCTCTGTATTTCCTGAATTTGAATGTTGGCCTGTCTTGCTAGGTTAGGGAAGTTCTCCTGGATAATATCCTGAAGAGTGTTTTCCAACTTAGTACCATTCTGCTCATCACTTCCAGGTCCACCAATTAAATGTAGGTTTGGTCTTTTCACATAGTCCCATATTTCTTGGAGACTTTGTTTTTCCCTCTTCATTTTTTGTAATCTTGATTTCATGCTTTATTTCATTAAGTTGATCCTCAATCTCTGATATCCTTTCTTCCACTTGATCAATTCAGCTATTGATACTTGTGTATGCTTCACGAAGTTCTTGTGCTCTGTTTTTCAGCTCCATCAGGTCATTTATGTTCTTCTCTAAACTTGTTATTCTAGTTAGCAATTCCTCTAACCTTTTTTCTAGGTTCCTAATTTCCTTGCATTGGGTTAGAATATGCTTCTTCAGCTCGGAGGAGTTTGTTATTACCTACCTTCTGAAGCCTACTTCTGTCAATTAGTCAAACTCATTCTCTGTCCTATTTTGTTCCCTTGATGGCAAGGAGTTGTGATCCTTTGGAGGAAAAGAGACTTTCTGGTTTTGGGAATTTTCAGCCTTTTTGCACTGGTTTTTCCTCATCTTCTTCAATTTACCTACCTTTGGTCTTTGACATTGGTGAACTTTGGATGCTTTTTTTGTGTGGACATCCTTTTTGTTGATGTTGATGCTATTCCTTTCTGTTTGTTAGTTTTCCTTCTAACAGTCAGGCCCCTCTGCTGCAGGTCTGCTGGAGTTTGCTGGAGGTCCACTCCAGAACTTGTTTGCCTGGGTATCACCAGCAGAAGCTGCAGAACAGCAAAGATTGCTGCCTGTTCCTTTCTCTTCTGTATGAGGAGACAGCTGGAGCTCTTCCGTATGAGGAGTCTGTCGACCCCTGCTAGGAGGTGTCTCCCAGTCAGGAGACACAGCAGTCAGGGACCCACTTGAGGAGGCAGTCTGTCCCTTAGCAGGGCTTGAGCACTGTGCTTGGAGATCTTCTGCTGTCTTCAGAGACACCAGGCATGAATGTTTAAGTCTGCTGAAGTTGCACCCACAGTTGCCCCTTCTCCCAGCTGCTCTGTCCCAGGGAGATGGGAGTTTTATCTATAAGAGCCTGACTGGGGCTGCGGCCTTTCTTTCAGAGATGCCCTGCCCAGAGAGGAGGAATCCAGAGAGGCAGTTGGGCTAGAGCAGCTTTGCCGAGCTGTGGTAGGCTCCACCCATTTTGAACTTCCCAGCTGCTTTGTTTACACTGTGAGGGGAAAACTGCCTACTCAAGCCTCAGTAATGGCAGGCACTCCTCCCCAGCCAAGCTTGAGCATCCCAGGTCGACTTCAGATTGCTGTGCTGTCAGCGAGAATTTCAAGCCTGGGATCTTAGCTTGCTGAGCTCCACTGGGGTGGTACCCACTGAGCTAGACTGCTTGGCTCCCTGGCTTCAGCCCCCTTTCCAGGGGAGCAAATGGTTCTGTCTCGCTGGCATTTCAGGTGCCACTGGGGTATGAAAAAAACTCCTGCAGCTAGCTCAGTCTCTGCCCAAACAACTGCCCAGTTTTATGCTTGAAATCCAGGGCCCTTGTGATGTAGGCACCCAAAGGAATCGCCTCTTCTGTGGGTTGTGAAGACAGTGGGAGAGTCGTAGTATCTGGGCTGGAGTGCACCGTGCCTCATGGCACAGTCGCTCACAGCTTCCCTTGGCCAGGGGAGGGAGTTTCCCAACCCCCTGCACTTCCCAGGTAAGGTGACGCCCCACTCTGCTTTGTTCGCCCTCCATGGGATGCACCCACTGTCTAGCCACTCCTAGTAAGATGAGCCAGGTACCTCAGTTGGAAATGCAGAAATCATCAACCTTCTGCATTGATCTCACTGGGAGCTGCAGACTGGAGCTGTTCCTATTTGGCCATCTTGCCAGGCCACTATTCATGATTTTTTTGTTTTTACCCTGACATCTTTGGTGCACTAGTAATGGTTTATTATTTCATTTTCATACTGCTATGAGGGAATATCCAATACTGGGTAATTTAAAAGGAAAAGAGGTTTAATGGACTCACAGTTTCACATGGCTGAGGAGGCCTCACAATCATGGTGGAAGGCAAAGGAGAAGGAAACACTTGTCTTACATGGCAGCAGGCAAAAGACTGTGTGCAGGGGAGCTACCCTTTTTAAAACCATCAAATTTCATGAGACATATTCACTATCATGAGATCTGCATGGGAAAAAAGCCACCCCCGTGATTCAATTACCGCCCACCAGGCCCCTCCCACCATATGTGGGGATTATGGGAGCTACATTTAAAGGTTAGATTTGGTTGGGGACAGAGCAAAACCATATTATTCCCCCACTGGCCCATCCCAGATTCATGTCCTCACATTCCAGAACACAATAATGCCTTTACAACAGTTTCCCCAAAGTCTTAGCTCATTCCAGCATTAACCCAAAAGTCCAAGTCCAAATTCTCATCTGAGACAAGACAGTTCCTTCCACCTATTATCCTATAAAATCAAAAAGTAAGTTAGTTAGTTATTTCCTAGATACAGTGGGTGCATAGGCATTGGGTAAATACACCCATTATTAATTGGAGAAATTTACCAAAACAAAGGAGCCACAGGGCCCATGCAAGTCCAAAATCCTATAGGGAAGTAATTGAACTTTAAAGTTTTTAAATGATCTCCTTCAACTCTATGTTTCTATGTTTCACATCCAGGGAACGCTGATGCAACAGGTGGGCTCCCTCGGTGGTGGGCTCCCATGGTCTTGGGCTCCCACACACAACTGTGACTTTGCAGGGTACAGCCCCACTCCAGACTGCTTTCACAGGCTGGCATTGTGTGACTGCAGCTTTTCCAGACACATGGTGCAAGCTGTCAGTGGAATCTACAATTCTGGAGAACAGTGGCCTCTTCTCATAGCTCCACTAGGCAGCACTCCAGTGGGGACTCTGTGTGGGGGCTTCAACCCCACATTTTCCTTCTGCACTACCCTAGCAGAGGTTCTCCATGAGGGCTCAGCCCCACAGCAAATTTCTGCATGGACAGCCAGGCATTTCCATACATCCTCTTAAATCTAGGCAGAGGTTCCCAAACATCAGTTCTTGACTTCTGTGCACCTACAGCTCAACAACACAAGAAAGCTGCCAAGGCTTGGGCTTCCATCCTCCAAAACCATGGCCTGAGCTGTACCTTGGGCCCTTTTAGCCATGTCTGAAGTGGCTGGGACACAGAACTTCCAGTCCCTAGGCTGCACAGGGAAGCGAGGGCCTGCGCCTGGCCCAGAAAACCAGTTTTTTCTTTTAGATCTCCAGGCCTGTGATGGGAGGGGCTGTCACAAAGGTCTCTGACATGACCTGGAACTATTTTCCGCATCGTCTTGGTGATTAACACGGGGCTCCTTGTTACTTATGCAAATTTCTGTAGCAGGCTTAAATTTCTCCACAGAAAATGTTTTTTTTTCTTTTCTATTGCATCATCAGGATGCAAGTTTTCCAAACTTTTATTCTCTGTTTCCTCTTGATCACTTTGCTGCTTAGAATTTATTCCATCAGTTACCCTAAATCATTTCTCCCAAGTTTAAATTTCCATAGATCTCTAGGGCAGGGGCAAAATTCAGCCAGTCTCTTTGCTAAGGCATAAGAAGAGTTACCTTTACTCCAGTTCCCAACAAGTTCTTCATCTCCATCTGAGACCACCTCAGCCTGGAATTTATTGTCCATACCACTTTCAGTGTTTTGGTCTTAGCCATTCAACAAGTTTCTAGGAAGTTCCAAACTTTCACACATTTTTGCATCTTCTTCTGAGTCCTCCAAACTGTTCTAACCTCTGCCTGTTACCCAGTTCCAAAGTTGCTTCCACATTTTTTGGTGTCTTTCCAGCAGCACCTCACTACCCAGTATTAAATTACTGTATTAGTCTGTTACCTGCTGCTATTAAAGCCACACCTGAGACTGGGTAATTTTTAATAAAAAGATATTTAATTGACTCACCATTTCACATGGCTGGAGAGGCCTCAGGAAACTTACAACGACAGTGTAAGGAGAAGCAAACACATCCTTCTTCACATGGCAGCAGGAAGGAGAAGTACCGAGCAAAAGGGGAAAAACCCCTTATAAAGCCATCAGATCTCATAAAAACTCACTCACTATCATGAGAATAGCATGTGGGTAACCACCCCCATGATTCAATTACCTCCCACCAGGTCCCTCCCATGACATGTGGGAATTATGGGAACTACAATTCAAGATGAGATTTGGATGGAGACACAGTCAAACCATATCAGGTTCCATACATGTGAAGACAGTAGTCACAAAACAGAACTTCAAAATTGTAAAAAAAAAAAAAAGAAAAAAAAAAAAGGAAATGCATGCCTTCTCAATTCTTATGGCATCAAAGTAAAGTATTGGGATATATTTTGCTTCCTAACTTGCTATGCTTTATTCTCACAAAAATTGTCCCAGAGAAAGATGAGTCATCCTTACGGTAGTCCTCAAAGCATTCTTCTTGGCTTTATGGGTAAACTGAAATGCAGGTATAACAGTGGATATATGTAAAATACTATCATCCTTAATGAATTTTTTTTCTCTCTCACCCCATATAGTCTCAGTCAAGGGTTCTTTCTGTTCATTATTTGTAACAGCAGTGCCTTTTTTTAAACATATGAGACAACATGAAATGTCGTTTAGGAAAGTTATTAGACTTGGCATAGAGTTTTAGATTTTCAACAGTGTCAAAGACCCCAGATGTCAATAAAAAATATTATATTGAAATTAGTCTACTAAGTTCTAGGCCTGCTCATTTATTAGAGAACTAGAGACATTTATACCCAATTGTCTGATGTATAATGGAAAAGTAAAAGTCAATATGAAAGTTTCATTTGGCATGTTGGGAATTAAGAACCCAAAGCAAAAAATTTATGTGGTTGTGTTGATGTTTTCCTTGTTGCTATTGCAGTTAATATGACTGTTTCTGTTACTGTTCTTTGACAGATAATTAAGAAATTACTTAAGGATCTTTTTCAAATAATAATTAATAATCATCAACATGCTGGCATCTCTCTGGGGATAGATGCTGTAGCAAAGATAGCAGTGAGTAAACCCAGCCATCAAGTTGAAGAAGCAGTTCAGGAACCAGATTCTTTCTTTTTTACTGGCAAAGTAGAGGAGTATGACTCTGCATTTGTTCTCTGGAAAGGTTTGCAAGCAGATAAATAAAGACAATAATTGAAAAACGTAGAAGTGGTCCCCAACCTTTTTGACACCAGGGACTAGTTTCGTGGAAGACATTTTTTCATGGATGGTGGGTGGGTGGTGGTGATGGCTTTTCATTGAAACTTTTCTACCTCAGATCATCAGGCATTAGATTCTCATAAGCAGCGTGCAATCTAGATCCCTCACATGCACATTGCACTACAGGGTTTGATGAAAATCTAATACCATTGCTGATCTGACAGGAGAAAGAGCTCTGGTGGTGATGCTGGCTCACCCACCCCTCACATCCTGCTGTGTGGTCTGGTTCCTGACAGGCCACAGACTTGTACTGGTCAAGGACCAGAGGTTGGGGAACCCTGACGTAGGCAAGTAATAATGTACTAGGCATCTTATAGTTGTAGTTGTGCTGAGTCCGGTTTAAGATAAATCCTCATGCTATGTACCACATTCAGAACAATATGAGGAAGAAAGTGGTCCTCAAGTGAGAAAAGACCTGGGGGCCACTGGGAAAAAAAAAAAAAAAGCTTTGAGCCAAAAGCTAGTGATTGATAGTGCAACAAATTAGCAGGTAATGTTAACACCAAATCCATAGAATCTATATGTAAATTAATAAATGTTTCATGTTTTATAACTCATTGAAGTATTCTGAAACGTAGAAGCCTTCTGCATCCATTCTTCTTCTACCCATTAATTTTATATACCAAAAGAAAAAGACTGGACTTTCAGAAGTAAGACCTACAATCTGAGTTCATATTTGTTATCTTCTATGTATGCTGCCCAACAGGGTAAACACAAGCCACATGTGGTACATATACTTACCTTTAAATTACTTAAATTTAAAAAAATCAATTATTTAGCTATGCTATCCATATTTCAAGTTTTAAATAAGCACATGTGGCTCATGACTGCCCTATTGAACAGTGCAGATATAGAACATTCCCATACTCACAGAAAGTTCTATGGGGCAGCACTGCATACCAGGTAGGTGATACCCAAACAGCCAATGCTGCATTTCAATAACTACATCAAATGGCTTAAGAATACTTTCTTATATAGCTCTTATATCAAGGCTACTGTTATTTGATAAACAATAAACTGTTTTCTAATAAATGGGGTAAGGGTTCTTAGATATTTAGTCTTCTTTTTATACCTAGTACATAACCAGTTAAAATCTTCTCCTCTATGAATTAAATTTTCAGTTCTTCCCCCAATATTATACCTATATGGGCTCGCAAAGATATGTCCTAAAACTCTGATCCATGACTTCAATTTCCTGAACAAAAAACTTCATTCTGGCCAGGCATGGTGGCTCGCGCCTGTAATCCCAGCACTTTGGGAGGCTGAGGCGGGCGGATCACCTGAAGACAGGAGTTTGACACCAGCCTGGCCAACATGGCGGAACCCCGTCTCTGCTAAAAATACAAAAATTAGCAGGGTGTGATCGTGTGCCTGTAATCCCAGCTACCCGGGAGGCTGAGGTAGGAGAATCACTTGAACCCCGCAGGTGGAGGTTGCCATGAGCCGAGACCGCGCCACTGCATTACAGCCTGGGAGACAGAGCGAGACTCCATCTCAAAAAATAAAAAACATTTCATTCTTACCACTTCCCTATCTCTTTCACTTTCTCCATGAATGGCTATATATAACTGATGTGCCTGGCAATTTATGATCTTCTACAGGCTTTTCCTTACTGGGTTTTCCTGCCTTTTCTACTTCTTTACTTCTACCAAAGTCATTCCTCCCAGGTATTTCTGTTCTTTTTCACTGCCTTACCCTGCTCTTTTTTTCTCCACATAATTCTGTGCTCCTGCACACTGAAAGTAAATCAGTTATATTATTAAATATTATTGAATGCCAACTCCATATTAAGCATTGCAATATAACATTCTCCATTCCAATCAATGTTTAAGAAACCCATCAAGTCCTAAAAATTAACATTTTCACTTAAAAATTCCCTGGCCTGACACATGTACTAAATTTTCTCATTTAAACTTTGATGGTATATACTATAAGCACCCCTCATTTAATAGTTATCTCATCATAACGTTTCATATAATATGAGTTTGTGACTAGCCACATATTATTTTCAAAAGCTAAAGTTAAAACTGAAAGAGATTGCAACCAGGCTTTATCTGCCTTTGTGTCCTGTGTGGCCCTACACATGGCATCTTGTAATTATTAACTTGCTTTGCTCAAAACAATCATTTTATTAATGACAATGTTGGTTTTAATTTACCATAAATACATTGTAATTTTACAAAATAACCAAAATTTGACTGTCCTTTAATCACAAGCTGTGGCCATACCTAGATATGGAAAAATATTTAGAGAAGACTTTCTTGGGCCAGAAAGCTCATATTTTTGCCAAACCATACAGTAGAACTTTTGGCTGATTCACAAATAGTTCATCTCTGATCCCTGCCAACTGATTCACGAATAGTTCGTCTCTGATCCATGCCATCTGTCTCCTACCCATTTTCTAATATCCCAACATAATCAGTGCACTCCTGTTTCAGGAGGTTATTCAAGAATCAAAGGAAAAATGCTCAGCAGTTTTTGCTTATGGAGAGAGCACCAGTTTAGTATCACTAAGTGATCCTACTGAAGTTTTCCATACTCTCTGGGAAACAGAGGCATGAGTGAAAGAAAAGATACTAAAGGTTTTCCTTAGAGACATTCAATTCCCTAAAATGATTATATCTTTCTGCCAATTCTTTCCTTCTATTACTGGAGTAAAGGGAGGCTTAATAAAGGGATAATTGGTATGTATGGTTGTTATTGCAGTAAATTCTCAAACTGAAATTTCTCAGTAAGCCCTTTTGTGGAATACCTGGTATAAGAATGAATGTAGCAGACATAATTCTAAGGTGGCCCCATGATATTACCTTAATTGTGTTACGTGGCAAAAGGGATTTTATATATTTAATTAAGTTTACTTAATGGATCTTAAGACATATAGGTTAAAATATACAGGTTTTCAGAGTGAATTTAATCTAATCACATGAGCCTTTAAAAGCAGAGTGTTCTATACCCAAAGGACTATAAATCATGCTGCTATAAAGACACATGCACACGTATGTTTATTGCGGCACTATTCACAATAGCAAAGACTTGGAACCAACCCAAATGTCCAACAATGATAGACTGGATTAAGAAAATGTGGCACATATACACCATGGAATACTATGCAGCCATAAAAAATGATGAGTTCATGTCCTTTGTAGGGACATGGATGAAATTGGAAATCATCATTCTCAGTAAACTATCACAAGAACAAAAAACCAAACACCGCATATTCTCACTCATAGGTGGGAATTGAACAATGAGATCACATGGACACAGGAAGGGGAATATCACACTCTGGGGACTGTTGTGGGGTGGGGGGAGGGGGGAGGGATAGCATTGGGAGATATACCTAATGCTAGATGACGAGTTAGTGGGTGCAGCACACCAGCGTGGCACATGTATACATATGTAACTAACCTGCACATTGTGCACATGTACCCTAAAACTTAAAGTATAATAAAATAAATAAATAAATAAAAGCAGAGTGTTCTCTGACTAGTAGTAGAAGAGGAAGTCCTAGAGATTTGAAAAATAAGGGATTTGATACAAAGAAGTTTATCTTTGCCTAGAAGACTAAGAGGCAGGGTTCTGAGAACAGCTGATAGCAAATGAGAGAAGTCCCAACAAGAAATCAGGGGCTTCAATGCTACGAGTAATTGAAATCTGCCAGTAAACTAAATGAGCTTCAAAGCAACTTGTTCTCTAAAGGTGAAAGCTTCCAATAAGAACCCAGCCTGAACAATACCTTGATTTTGGCCTTATGAATCAATAAGCATAGAACCCAGTCATCTGACCTACAGAACTGAGAGGTAAATAATGAGGGTTTTTGTTTGTTTGTTTTGTTTTGTTTTTACTTTAGGCTCTGGGATACGTGTGCAGGTTTGTTACGTAGGTATAAATGTGCCATGGTGGTTTGCTGCACCTATCAGCTTGTCATCTAGGTTTTAAGCCCAGATGCATGAGTTATTCGTCCTAATGCTCTTCCTCCCCTTTCCCCCCATCCCCTGACAGGCCCTGGTGTGTGATGTTTCCCTCCCTGTTCCCTTTCATGTGTTCTCATTTTTCAGCTCCCACTTATGAGTGAGAACATGAGGTGTTGAGTTTTCTGTTCCCATGTTAGTTTGCTGAGAATGATGGTTTCCAGCTTCATCCATGTCTCTGCAAAGGATATGAACTAATTCTTTTTTATGGCTACATAGTATTCCACGGTGTATATGTGTCACATTTTCTTTATCCAGTCTATCATTAATGGGCATTTGGATTGGTTCCAAGTCTTTGCTATTGTGAATAGTGCTGCAATAAACATAGGTGTGCATGTGTCTTTATAGTAGAATGATTTGTTATCCTTTGGGTATATACCCAGTAATGGGATTGCTGGGTCAAATGGTGTTTCTGGTTCTAGATCCCTGAGGAATCGCCACACTGTCTTCTACATGGTTGAACTAATTTACAATCCCACCAACAGTGTAAAAGTGTGCCTATTTCTCTGCATCCTTTCCAGCATCTGTTGTTTCCAGACTTTTTAATAATCACCATTCTAACTGGCATGAGATGATATCTCATTGTGGTTTTGATTTCCATTTCTCCAATGACCAGGGATGATGAGCTTTGTTTCATATGTTTCTTGGCTGCATAAATGTCTTCTTTTGAGAAGTGACTGTTCATATCCTTTGCCCACTTTTTGGTAGAGTTGTTTTTTTCTTGTAAATTTGTTTAAGTTCCTTGTAGATTCTTGATATTAGACCTTTGTCAGATGGATAGATTACAGAAATGTCCTTCCATTCTGTAGGTTGCCTGTTCAATCTAATGATATTTTCTTTTGCTGGGCATAAGCTCTTTAGTTTAATTAAATCCCATTTGTCAATTGTGGCTTTTGTTATCATTGCTTTTGGTGTTTTAGTCATGAAGCTTTTGCCCATGCCTATGTCCTGAATGGTATTGCCTAGGTTTTCTTCTAAGGTTTTTATAGTTCTAGGTTTTATATTTAAGTCTTTAATCCATCTTGAGTTAATTTTTGTATAAGGTGTAAGGAAGGGGTCAGGTTTCTATTTTCTACATATGGCTAGCCAGTTTTCCCAACACCATTTATTAAATAGGAAATCCTTTCTCCATTGCTTGTTTTTGTCAGGTTTGTTGAAGATCAGATGGTTGTAGATGTGTGGTGTTGTTTCTGAGGCCTCTGTTTTATTCCATTGGTCTATATATCTGTTTTGGTACCAGTACCATGCTGTTTTGGTTACTGTAGCCTTGTAAATATATTTTGAAGTCAGGTAGCATGATGCCTCCAGCTTTGTTCTTTTTGCTTAGGATTGTCTTGGCTATATGGGGTCTTTTTTGGTTCTATATAAAATTTAAAGAAGTTTTTTCTAGTTCTGTGAAGAAAGGCAGTGGTAGGTTGATGGGTACAGCATTGAATCTGTAAATTACTTTGGGCAGTATGGCCATTTTCACGATATTGATTCTTCCTATGCATGAGCATGGAATGTTCTTCCATTTGTTTGTGTGCTCTCATATTTCCTTGAGCAGTGGTTTGTAGTTCTCCTTGAAGAGTTTCTTCACATCCCTTGTAAGTTGTATTTCTAGGTATTTTATTTTCACTGTAGCATTGTGAAAGGTAGTTCACTCATGATTTGGCTCTCTGCTTGTCTATTATTGGTGTATAGGAATGCTTGTTATTTTTGCACATTGCTTTTATCCTGAGATTTTGCTGAAGTTTTTTTTTTATCAGCTTAAGGAGTTTTAGGGCTGAGATGATGGGGGGTTTTCTAAATATACAATCATGCCATATGCAAAGAGAGACAATTTGACTTCCTCTCTTCCTATCTCAATACCCTTTATTTCCTTCTCTTGCCTGATTGCTCTGGCCAGAACTTCCAATACTATGTTGAATAGGAATGGTGAGAGAGAGCATCATTGTCTTGTGCCAGTTTTCAACGGGAATGTTTCCAGCTTTTGCCCTTTCAATATGATATTGGCTATGGGTTTGTCCTAAATAGCTCTTATTATTTTGTGATATATTCCATCAATACCTAGTTTATTGAGAGTTTTTACCATACGGGGTATTGAATCCTGCCGAAGGCCTTTTCTGCATCTATTGAGATAATCATGTGGTTTTTGTCATTGGTTCTGTTTATGTGATGGATTACGTTTATTGATTTGCATATGTTGAACCAGCCTTGCATCCCAGGGATGAAGCCGACTTGATCGTTGTAGATAAGCTTTTTGATGTGCTGCTGGATTTGATTTCTCAGTATTTTATTGAGGATTTTCACATTAATGTTCATCAGCGATATTGTCCTGAAATTTTCTTTTTTTGTTGTTTCTCATCCAGGTTTTGGTATCTAGATGATTCTGGCCTCATAAAATGAGTTAGAGAGGAGTCCCCCTTTTTCTATTGTTTGGAATAGTTTCAGAAGGAATTATACCAGCTCCTCTTTGTACCTCTAGCAGTATTCAGCTGTGAATCCCTCTGGTCCTGGGATTTTTTTTGGTTGGTAGGCTCTTAATAACTGCCTTAATTTCAAAGAGTGTTGTTTTAAAGCACTAAGCTTGACGTAATTTCCCTTGCAGCAGTATAAAAGTAATAACAACATTCACAGACACTACCACCACTACTACTACAGCTATGACTAGCAAACATTTATATTGTGCTTATTTAATGCCAGGAGCTCTTCTAAACACTTCATAAACATTAATCAATACTCACAACAACTCACAGTGAAGTTACTACTGTTTTTCCAAACAGAGATGAAGAAATTAAGGTACCTGAGTTTGAAGTAACTTACCAAAGTGACAAAGGTAGTAAGTGGTAGAACTGGCCTTGAAAGTCAGGAAACTTGACTGCAGATGTCCTGCTCTAAATTACATCTTACATTAACATATTTTTACAATATTATGGCAATCACACTCATTACATTTGTCTAAGACTATTTGTATCCAGTTCTTTCTTTTTTTTTAAAAAAAAAAGTATGAACTCCCAGATGTTTGGTTGCTAACCTAAATAAATTTATTCATTCAGCAAATATTTGCACAATGATTTGATTGCTGATCTATAGAAAGCATAATGGCTCTCAGAGCATTAAGCATAAAATGTTAAACAAAATCAACACAGATTAAATTGGAGGTCTAGTAAAGGAAAGAGCAACACACAAATAAATAAATACCACAGCATACTTTTTTTTTCTGTGATTAGGTTGCTAGCTCAGTATTCAAAATCAGCTTTCTTTTATTACCTATTACCCAGTAGACTAATAGTGTTTTGGTCTTGTTATTGCTTGGGAGTTTTTTTTTTTGTATTTTAATTTTCTTTGTTGTTTTGTTTTGTGTTTGATTTGCTTGTTGTTAAACTCTGTATTTACATGAGGAGTTAAAATATAAGATTGTAAATAAATATTTTCAAGAATATGTAACTGTGTAAATGGATAAATAAAAGAATCTTCCTTACCTCACTGGTTAGGTAATGAATATTTTTAAGTGATTTCCTCATTGAGAAGGCAAATATTTCCAGAGTACAAACAACAGTCTTCAAAATCAAAGTTATTTTGAGGTTGTCTCTTCTGAATAGCTTGTAGATATTATTGCTGAGTATACTACAGCAAAATATCATTATTTCTGCTGTAAGATTAAGTGAATACCAGATAAACTGAAATATTAATCAATAAATAAAGATATATAACAAATTAGATAGCAAGTAATTAAATCAAATTCCAGAAAAGGACAAATCTTTACTAAATAAGCAGAGATAGTAGGCCATTATAAAATCTAGAGGGTTTGCTGTGTCTAGAAGAACAGGATGTTGGAAGAGTAAGTTTGTGCTAGGCAGGTAAACATTGCCAACCTAAGGAAAAACAGGTGAACATCCAATAGCCTCATGGAGACTAGTGTGGTAGACTGTATTCTAGAGGTGCCTATACCACAGAGTTAGGCTTCCCTGCACTTTCTTCCACTTTCCAATTCTTGTCCATGGGACTTCTGCTGAGTGAGAAGAGAAAAAAGAAATTGGGGTGTAGGATAAAAAGCAGAAAAATATCCTGAGTCTCAGAGGGCTTAGATCCCAAAGCCCTGCTTTAGGAAACTCCTCCAAATCACCCACAAGATATTAGATATCGGAGCAGAATTAACAATAATTAATGTTCTAATAGGTGTCTGACCCATTGCATATCCTGAATAGAAGGAGTAACAGAACAAACCCTCACCGTAGGTGCCTGACAGTAGAAAAAAAAAGTTATTTCTGAGAGAACATTTTCTACACTAGTCTCTTTTTAATACAATATGTCAAGTATAAGTTATAAATATTGTAAGATATGAGGAGACACATGAAAATATAAACCATAATCAAACCATCATTAATTAGTAAAATCTATAACTGGCTCATGTTGAATTTAGAAAACAAGGACTCTTAAATAACTATTAATATATGTTAAAGAATTTAAAGAAAAACATGGGGAAAAGTGAGTGGAAAGATGACATAATAAAGAAAAAAGCAATACAAATTAATCTTTAGGACTAAAAAATATAACACTTATAATAAAGAATGTACTGCATGCCATTAGCAGCAGAAATAGCAAAACAGATGTAAGGTCTAACTGAGAACAGGTTAGTGAAAAATTGTTCAGACAGCAGAGAAAAGGAAAAAAACAAAGAAAAAGAAGGCACAAGAAACATACGTGTAACTGAAATCCCAGAATAACAGAAGTGAAAGTAGGAATCACTGAAAATCTAATGGCCATGAATTTTTCAGAACTGATGAGTGATATCAACAGCTCCAAAAAAGGTCAGCAAATTGCAAACAGAATAATTACAAAGAAAACCACATCTAAGCACATAACGGTCAAAGTGCTGAAACCCAAAAACAGACACATTTTTTAAGTATCCAAAGACAATTACATACAAAAAAGCAATGAAAAATAAAACAGATTACTTCTCAGAAACACTAAAAGCAAGAAAGCAGTCTTTAAAATTATAAAGAAGTGTTATCTGAGAATCAATTATCAAGTAAAAATATTCTACAATATTAACAACATGAATTCTCAAATACACCACAGTTTAACATAGGGAGAAAATTTACACAGTACCATAAAGAGGAGATGAGTTATAAATGAAAGCATATTATTGTAAATCCCTTACATTATTTATAAAGTGTAATTTACAAAAAATTCAAAGTGAATTATTATGAATTAAAGATTTTACTTTAATCTCTACAGTGGCCATGAAAAATGCAATTTAAAAGTTATAGTGAAGTAGTCAATAGAAGGATTAAAATATTGAAAGTACTAAATTACTTAAACAATAATACTACCTTAATCTAAAGAAAGAGAGAACAAAAAACGATAAGACACATGCTATACAAACAGCAATTGAACAGAATTAAAAACAATAATATTAATAATTACATTATTTGTCAGGGTACTTAGCACTTTAATTAAAAGCCATACACACACACACACACACACACACACACACATACACACACGGCCAAAAACACCACAAGAGCTAGTGTAATATTCTTTTTGAAGTTCAATAGATTACACACTATCTTTATAGTAATTGTATGAAAGCCGGAATGGCTATATTCATATCAAATAAATAGATGAATTTTATCATTTTATACTGATAATAGGTCAAATAATCAAGATGACACAAAATCATAAAGATGTACACACCTAAAAACATACGAAGTTAAATCAATGGGACTGAAAGAATAAATGCTCAAATCCACAATTACTGTTGACAATTTAAAAACATATTTCAATTAAAAGTTCAGAAGATGTGTTTGTTTCTTATTACTGCTGTAACATTTACCAACCAAAAACTTACTAACTTGAAATATTTTCTTTTCTACCTGTTCTGGTGATCAGAAGTCCAAAATGAGTCTCACTGCAAAACTCAAAAGGGTGTCAGTAGGTCTGCATTTTTCTGTTTTTCTGGAGGCACTAAAGAACAAGTTCCTTGCCTTCTCTAGCAGCTGAAGTCTCACATCCCTTTGTTTCTGGCTCTCTTCCTCCATCTTCAAAGCCAGTAATGACAGATAGTTCCAACCTCCTCATCTGTCTATCTCTTGTACTTTAAAGGACCTTTCTAATTATATTGGATTCATCAGGATAACGTATTCATTTTAAATTTAGATGAAGAGCAATCTGTTTTGTTTTCTTTTGTTTTGTTTTGTTTTTTGACACAAAGCCTCATTCTGTTGCCCAGGCTGGAGTGCAGTGGTGTGATCTCAGCTCACTGCAACCTCCACCTCCAGGGTTCAAGCGATTCTCCTCCCTTAGCCTCTTGTGTAACTGGGACTACAGGCCATGCCACCACACCCCGCTAATTTTTGTATTTTTTTTTTAACTGCAATCACCCCCCTATTTAATACCTGTTGGGTATAATCAGCACTATATTTGGTCTGGGGAGTTTGGAAAATGGAAAAGCTATTTCAGCTTTCTTAAATGATTTAGGAGTGATGCAGAGTATAAAATCTCAAATTAAAAGTGAAGCTGAGTCATTCCTGGGTCTGGAGATGCCTACTATCTGATTGAAGAAATCAAGAGTGCTGCAGACCACTGGGACTTGCCTAGGTGGAACTCAGCACGACTCTGGTGCAGCTGGAAAGAAACATTTGGTAACATTCAGATTCATAGTTTTTGGGTATAACTTGGAGGATATTTGAAAGCACTTCAACGGAATTGAACACTCAGGAGGTGGGGGACAGATGTTTACAGGCCAATGTTAGATGGAGGGGAAGTAAAAACCAGGGTTAGACTCTCTGGCCAGAACTTGAAATATTTTCCTGGTTATTGGCTTGTCCAGTACTTTCTGTTCAAATGTTCAAAGGTCAAACTTGATGTGTCCTCATGTCTTTTCCTGACTTTGGACTCATGTGGATGCAGGAGCCTTGTCCTTATTTCTTCTCTTCTGTCCCACTGGTTGAAATCAGGCTTTGTAATTTTTAAAATTGGTTATATTTTTAATACAGATGGGGTTTCACTATGTTGGCGAAGTTGATCTCAAACTCCTAACCTCAAGTGATCCACCCGCCTCGGCCTCCCAAAGTGCTGAGATTACAGGTGTGAGCCACTGTGCCTGGCCTTAATTTCACAAATTCAACTCCCTTTTGCCAGGTGCATAACATATTTACAGGTTCTAATTATTAGGACATGAACATCTTTGGAGGACCATTATTCTGTCTATCGCAGACTATAAACACACTTATCTTAGTCAAATTTACAAAACATCACATCCAACAATGCAGAATCCATATTTTTACAAAGGTACAAAAATGCTTCAACAACATAGGCCATATGATGGATCATGAAGCAACTGTCTAGTAGATTTCACTGACTGAAATGGAATTAAGCTAGAATCCAATAATATAAGAATATATAACCTTCCCCTGCCCCTGTACTTGGAAAGTAAACAATCCACTTCTAAAAAACCTGCAAATATCTTTTCATGTGTTTATTTGCTAAAAGTATATTTTCTTTGATGAAACATCCTATCAAGCATTTGTCATTTTTAAAGTTAGGTTGTTCAGTTTCTTATTGTTGATGTAATTTTTCTAATATATTTTGAATACAAGTTCATTTTCAGACAAGTGAGTTGAAAATGTTTTTTCTAAACGTGTGACTTGTCTTTTTATCTCTTAATGGTGACTTTCACAGAGATAAAGGTTTTAATTTAGAGGAATTCCAACTTTTCATTTTATTTCTCTATGGATCTTGCTCTTGGTGTCATATTGAAGAATGCTCTGCTTAACCCAAGCTTAACCCAACAACAATTTTCTCCTGTTTTCTTGCAGTACATTTATTACAGAAGTCTCCTCTTATCTGAAGTTTTGTTTTTGGAGGTTTCAGTTACCCTCACTCTGATAATAAATGAATATCATACAATAAGATATTTTCAGAGAGAGAGAGAGAAAAAACATGCACATAACATTTATTACAGCATATTGTTATAACTGTTTTATTTTATTATTATTGTTATCAGTCTCTGTGTTTAATTTATAGATTAAACTTTACCATAGATATGTATATAGAGAAAAAACAGTATATATAGATTTAGTTACTGTATTAGTTCATTTTCATACTGCTATAAAGAACTGCCCAAGACTGGGTAACTTATAAAGGAAAGAGGTTAAATTGATTCATATTTCTGCATTGCTGAGGAAGTCTCAGGAAACTTACAATCACGGCCGAAAGCAAAGGAGAGGAAGGTACCTTCTTCACAGAGCAGCAGGATGGAGTGAGTGCAAGCAGGGGAAACACCAGATGCTTATAAAATCATCAGATCTTGTGAGAACTCACTCACTATCACGAGAACAGCATGGGAGAACTTCCCCCATGATCGAATTACCTCCACCTGGTCTTGCCCTTGACACTTGGGGATTATGGGGATTACAATTCAAGGTGAGATTTGGGTGGGGACACAGAGCTATACTATATCAAGTACTATCAGTGGCTTCAGACATCCACTGGGAGTCTTGGAATGTATCCCACACAGTTAAAAGGAGACTACCGTATTTTGCCTTTCAATAGGTTACTGAAGCTCTATTATGTTCCTAGTTTGGTGAGAGTTTTTATCATGAATATATGTTGATTTTGTCAAGTGTTTTTTCTGCATTTATTATTATATTTTTTTCTACTTTGATCTGATAATATGGCAATTATATGAAGTAATTTTCAAATATTGAGCCACCCTTGCATTCTGGGAATAAACCTGAATTTATTGTATTATTATGCATTTTTATATATTGTTGTATTCAATTTGTTAACATTTTAATTAGGGTATTTGCATCAGTATGAGAAATACTATTTTTTAATTTTATTATAATAACTGCATATGATTTTGGTATCAACATAATATGGATTTTTGTCTCATTAAAAAATAAAAGGGGAGTACTCTGTCTTCTACATCCTAAAAAAGATAGTCAATTTTTTTTTCGTAAGTTTTTTATAGAATTTGCCACTAAAACCATGTGAGCTTGTGGTTTCCTTTTTGGAAGATTTTAATTAAACTTCCGTTTCTGTACCTCTTTTAGAACTATTTCGATTATTTTTTCTTTAAGCAAGATATGATATTTTATGCCTGTAATAAAATTGATTAATTTCATTAAAATTTTTGTATTTATGGGTCTACTTTTGTTTGTGGAATTGCATTATTTTTGTTTCAAAATCTGTTATTTCTGTAATGATACCACTTCTTGCATTCTGGACATGGATAACTTGTGTTTTCTTTCTTTTATTTGATTAGTTTGATAGAGCTTTATCCATTTTGTTGATCTTTTCAGAGAAAGTGCCTTTGGTTTTATTGATTTTTCTTAATAGATTTTCTGCTTTCAATTTTAGAATTTATGCTTATTTACTCACGATTTTTATTATCTTCTTGCTTTATATTTAAATCACTGTTTTCTCACTTTTTCAGTGTAAGCTTAGGTTATAAGTGTGTTGTTTAATGTCTTATTTGGGAATTTTTCAAGATTTTTTATCTTTTTTTTCCGATTTAACCAGATTATGGTCAAAGGACAAACATTAATTGATTTCAGTTTTTTAACATTCCTGAAAGTTGTTTTATGGCCTGTATAACATGATCAACCTTGGTAAATGTAAATGTTTCACATAAATTTGAAAGTATTTGTATTTAATTGGTCAGATGTTTTAAAATGCCAAAGAGTTAAAAGCTAGTTGCTACTATTATTCAGGTCTGTAATATCTTGATTGCTTTATGTCTACTTTTCTATCAATTGCCGAGAGAGGGGTGCTGAAGTTTTAATTATGATTGCAAGTTTATCCAGTGTTTCTTTTAATTATATTAGCATTTGGTGTTTATAGCATTTGTATTTTATGTAGTTATTGATATAATTCAAATTTAGGTCTACCATTTATTGTTTTCAGTTTTTCCTCCTCCTCTCCCATTCAACCTTTCCTTTCTTCCTTCAAAATATTTTAAATTTTTTACATCTCCAAATTTAATATACTCATTAACTTTTTTGCTGTGTATTATTGTACTCTAAGGAGTATAGTATACACACCTAAATTATAGCCTTCTTAAAGTCATCATTTATAATATCAAAGAAAATGTAACATTTTTACTGCCATATCAATTAATTTTTCCCTCTTGATTTAGCTTTAATTTTCATACATATTACCTATTACAACTTCAAGTCCACCAGTAAATGTTATAATATTGACTTTAAACAGTCAAACATATTTTAATGAATTTAAGAGGAGAAAGACCACTTTATATGTTTAAACTTTTATATTTATGGTGATTTTTTAAAACTATTTCTACTGTTCTGTCTTCATTTATAAAATTCCACGTTTCCCACTGGCATTACTTTTGTTCAGCCTGAAGAACTTCCTTTAACAATTATTTTAAAGCAAATCCACTGGTGACAAATTCTTTCAGTTTTTTTCATCTAAGAATGTCTATTTTTCTTTATCATTGAAGTGTATTTTCACCCAGTATAGAATTAGGTGTTGACTTACATTTTTTCTCTAAGCACTTTGAACAGTTTGCACTGTCTTCTTTATTTTGTGATGTTATATTTATATTTATTCAAATTATCTTTGTATGTAATGTTTTGACTTCCACTAGATGCTGAAAAGTTTGCTTTTCTTTACCTTTGGTTTTCTGAGGTTTCCTTTGAGTTTATACTCTTTGGGATTTGCTAAGCTTCTGGAATACGTAATGTATGTTTTTCACTAATTTTGAGATGTTTTCAAACAATATTCCTTCAAATATTTTTGGTTTTGTTTTTGCACAGATCTCTTTCCTGCCTTCTTCTGGAACTTAAGTGACACAAATATTAGGTATTTGATAGTATTCTACAAGTATGGTTGGCACTGTTTAATGAATATCAATGTATTATTTTCCCTCTGTTCCTCAGTTCTATATTGAAGTTTTATGTGATAATTGAAACATCTTGGTCACCAGAAGTTGACTTTATTTAAGAAAATTTTATTTAATTAATTGATTAAATGTTTTTAACTTACCAGATATTCTTGCTTTTTATATGTCAAGTACTATTGTATTGCATCCTTGAAATACAAAACATCTTGGGAAAATCTCTGTTCTGTTAAAATTCCTTAGAGGATGTTAATTTGCTCATTTTATCAGAAAATTAACTCAGGTGTGAACTGATATTTGTGTGGGCAGTGATTCCAATGTTAGTTTAAGTTTCAAAAATGTTTCCAGGCTATTTGGGTTCATCATGAGCATGGGCCACTCCAAAGTTAAGAGACATGAGTGATGCTTTATGTCATAGTTCTCTTCTCACAGCCTTTGCATGATGTGTGCTCTACTTCCTTGGATCTCTTTCATGTATGTATGCACAGCTTATTGATTAACCTAGTCCTTGTGTTAGATCTACACAGTGTTACTAAAATTTCTTCAGCAGCTTTCTTTAATCAGGGTTTTCCCCCCACACTCTCCAGGGTCCAGAGACTCATTTTTCTGGTTGATAAATTTTTTAAAAATCATTTTTAGTGCCTGGGAGATAAAAGATCAAAAGCAAATAAAACAAGGTGTTTCCTCATACTATGCAGCTGTTAGGGGCTCTTTTCTTAGTCTTCTAGTCAGAGCTAGAAGATTTTTCTTAGAGGGTTTTTTCTGTTTGTGTGTGTGTGTGTGTGTGTGTGTGTGTGTGGTGTGTGTGTCTGTACCTAGTTTCTAGTTCTATAAGTTGGGCCAACATTGGAACAATGTCAAAATATAAATGAGAAAAAAAGCAAATGAAGAGGAAAGTCCCCATAGTACAGTGTGTTCTTCAAATTTTGATTTCTCTCCCAAATCTACCCACTGTTCTTTACTTTTCATTGTTCTCCTGATGTTGCTTTTGAATGTTGTCCAGATTTTTTACGTGAAATTAGTGGGAGTGATAGGTTTATAGTGATTCTATTCCATCGTGGCTGGTGTTGAAATAATACCCTAGGTTTTTAATTCTAGTAACTGCATTACCAAAAAATGCCAGGAATTCAGTCTAGGTCCCATTTTTTGCCATACAGAAAGTCATTTACTGAGATGAGTATTGAAAGGGTAGAAGGCTTTAATCAGGTTCTGCAGCCTGTAAGTAGGGAGAACAGTCTCAAATTCATCTCCTCAACTGGCTAAAATTAGGAGCTTATATAGCAGGGAAGAAACATAACTACATTAAAGAAAACAGCAGTTAGGGAGGAATAAGTAAGAGGAGTTGGTCAACAGGAAGCAGGTGGTCAGCTAGGCAATCATGACTGGTGAGGGGTCTGACATCTCATTGTCCAAATGCACTGATATGACGAGTTTCAGTTCCTTGATATTATCTGGGAGTCCTGATGGTTGCTATCCTGAGAAAGAAACTCAGATAAGACAAATATAACTTTCTCAAGGTTCAAGGCTGGGAGGGTCAGTTTCTATGTTTATTCAAAAGAAACCATAAACATGAGTTCTAAGGGACAATTAGGCCAGTTTCAGTCCTCCTTTCTATTTATCAATTCTTCAATCATGGGGAATCTGGTAGTTGATCTTTCTGGCTGCTTCATGATGAGGAAGGGCATTGTGGCCACTCCATACCATGGGTGACCATATGGCCACCCAAGAATGAAAGGTTAATCTAATACTATTTTTTTTCTGAAATACAATATTTCTCTCTCCAGTCCTCCACTTCCACCAAAGACAAATCACAGCAGGGCCAAACTACCTGAAAAATAAGCTTCAGTCCCACCATACTTGGCCTGATTATCCACGCAAAGTGCAGAATGAATCATTGTTCATATAGGCTCCTCTAAATTGGCTTTGCAGAAATCTCTCATGGTAATCCCATACTTGACCTCCAAAGGCCTCTCAAGCCCAGCCAAGGATCCATCTGCACCTGCAGTTACTTACATGAATTGGGAGAACCTTTTGTTTCTTGAGGCCCCAAAACAAATTGAGGATCTTAGGCCTGTCAGAAAGTGACTCTCTCTATTTACCACAGGACAGGAACTCTCTAAAGGCACAGCATAGATAAGGTACAAAGCCAACCCTTCCAAAAGGCTCCCATTGGCTCTATAAAGTCAATTTCAATTTTTTAGAGCAATCTGCTTATATCCAAAAACATGCTATTCCAGTCAAATCCATGATAAAATAATCAGTGCTTCCAATTGTACCCCATTATTAAAAGAAAGGACTCTTATCAAACTTATGCAAAAAACCACATTGTCATGAATTAAGAATATTCATAAATAGTTATGAATTCTGTAGAAATCAGGCAGAGATAGAGAAATATGCCTAAAATTCTGTTTATAAGGGTATACTTTACTCAATAGTTAAAGGCTATGAATAATTCAAAAGAAAATTGTTCTTCAGACCCTGAAAAATAAAGCAAAAAGAATCAGCAATATTTCAATCTATGCAATCAACTCTGGCTCTGCTTCGTATTGAGTTAGCTATCATTATGAACACATTAGCCTTTTAATTGTAGTCTTGGAAGTTTTCTCTCTAGTCCAATGGCACAATCTCCTAAGTTATCAGAAACTTGCATTCAAGAGTCCTTCAATGAACTCCCTCAAAGAAGCAAGCCCTTGATTATAGCTGATTATAAGCCATTTTTTGGGAAGAATTAAACAAATTTTTAAAAAGAGACTAATTGTGGATGACAAAAGTATTAGGACAGCCATAGTTAAAGACATAGTTGACAAGGAAATTTGGTTGTTTCTGTGGCATACCACAATTTAATAATAATCAATCATTACTGCCAAGATATATTAAGACATACAAGAATTTCAGGAATCTCAGACAATCTTGGAACACATATTAATAACACATCTATATAAATATAATTCAAAGAAAGTTAAACAACACCTCATACTTAACAACGTTTCCTGTATAATTCTAATATGCAATATAATCCAAATGCATCTCTCTTGGACTCAGGGGCGCCAACATCCAGAACAAAGTTTGCAGTCAAAAATACTGAATTTAAAACTTGAAATTTTGCTTTCAGAAAGTTTGTCAAAAATCAGAGGTTTACAAACTCTATGTCACAAAATCAGATCACAGGTCACTATAAAATAGTCATTTATTGAGACAAAATGATAAAACGAAAGCATTTACACTTGGATAGAGAAGAGATTTAGTTTCCCAAACATTAAAACCTAATAAAGACAGCATGAGGCCAACTAAATCTGTCACTCCCTTGTCCTTTTTTTCTGCAGTTTACTCAAAAGATAAAAATGTTTTATTATCTCCTTAATATTGCACAAAATGTTGTTCAAAACAGAAAAAACAAATTTTACTTTGTAAGGTATGTTATTAATGTTAAAGCTATTTTTAATAAACGTATAAGTAAATCTATCTAATTTTAATCAGTTTTACCATAAGGTAAGATTTCTATAAATCTTTAATAATCTTTTACAATTTTCTATTAAAAAGAAGATCCGTGCTCCAAAAAACCTGGTTATTCTGACACAGGGCTCCACATAATGGCCTTGCATCTGTGTGTTTTTGATATTAAGTTTAATTTATAGAAAAATTCTGAACTAATTTTATTCCTCAGAATTAGCCCTTACAATCTCACATGTTCACCTCTTCTGTGATAGTCTCTGGGCCCAGAGGAATTAAATAGTTTTTATTTTTGGACCTGTGTCTCACAAAAGCAGTTGATTTTGATTGTCACCTTCTTCCACATCTGAAGTTGAGGCTTTGGTGTCAGTGTTTTAAGATATAGCAGAAGTTGGATCTTTTTTTGGATACAGAAGTCAAAGTGCTGTAACTTAACAGCATTTCAGGTGCAGTTAATAAGATATTTACATTGCCGAAAGTCCTACCATTCTCTCTAACACATCATAAATTAAAACACTGTGATTCGGTGTTTAGTAGTTACTGACTGTAGCTCTTCAAACCATTTTATTACAGTGGTTAGGTTATGCTTTGTGTATGTCTAATTGCTAGAATTCCAGTAACAGAACTGTGACCAAAAGCATAAAAACTGTGATAGGTCATATGGCAAACTTATCAAAGTAAGACAATGAACTTTTCTGTTTATCAAAAAAAAAGGTAAATGCAAATATCAATTTTGGAAATTCAGTATAAGTATAAATAATCTCCTTACATTTAAATGCTATGCAACAAAACAAACACAACATAAGAACAACCACACAATAATTTCTTGCCAACTATTTTAAAAGACTATTAACACATGTTTCCAAGATTGGTTTCTAGATACAGTACTGATAACTGATTTGGTAACTTTCACCACTGCATTCTTCAAACCAGCGCAACAACTGTATATATTTTATTTTCAATTGCACACATGAAGGCCCAACAGTGATTTTAAAATCACTAAAAAATTTAACTTTTTGTATTCCTATCCAAGTGAATGTCACTTAATTTTAATAATGGTAAACACAACTAAAATAATTTGAGAAAATCCCAGTCAATATCATTTTTTTCTTTACTTTTCTTTTTTCTTTTCTTTCCTTTTTTTTTTTTTTTTTGAGTCAGGATCTTGCTGTGTCACTCAGGTTGAAGTACAGTGGTGCAATCATAGCTCACTACAGACTCAAACTCCTAGACTCAAGGGATCCTCCTGCCTCAGCCTCCCAAGTAGCTGGGATTACAGGCATGCACCACATGTCTGGCGAATTTTGTTAATTTTTTATAGAGATAAGGTCTCACTATGTTGCCCAGGCTGATCTCAAACTCCTGGACTCAAGTTTCAAGTGTTTCTTCTATCTCAGCCTTCCAAGATGCTGGGATTACAAGAGTGAGCCACTGCACCCAGCCAATTTAATTTTCTTAAGGACAATTATAATATTTTCTGAATATTAAACGTATGCATATCAAGTATTTCCTAATTACCTAAAGGAAAAGATCTGAAACCAATTCAAATTATTGAATGTACTGAATTATCTTGGAAATAAAAGTTATTTTAACATTTCTTCTCCCCTCCACTTTTCCAAATAACAAAATAAATAATATATCATTTTTGTTTAGACTTTTAAAAATAAGTATTTTTATTTTTGGCCAGGAAACTGAAGCTCTTATATCTCTCTAAATCCTCAGAGGTAAACAAAACCATTCAATTTTATTTATTTTTTAAATTGCTAGTGTGCTCTTCATTTTGTGGAGGCTTGACAAAGATAGCTTAGGAATTTTATGCAAATAGAGGAAATTATGAACTGTTGGAAATGCATAAGAAACAAAATGACTATTCATAGAAGCAAACATAAACCTTCCATTAGAAACTAAAATACATCAATGATTTTATATATGTATATATAAATAAAACGCGAAGTAAACAGCAAATAAATAAATAAATAATTCCTTGAGATGCCAGGAACCACAGAGCCCCAAAGAGGGTGTCACACCCCTGACTTGGGGAGCCCATAGGTCTGGGCTCCCTGAAGGGCCACAGCTCTTCTCTCCTCGTCACCTACAATATGGCAAGTGAGGCTCGTGTTTCAGCCCTGTTTGTGTCAAGGCTCTTTCAGTCCCGCCATTAGGTGGGTCCCGAGTTTTTGTCCTGTGTCCAGAAAGAATGAGATACATGGATAACTGGAGGGAGAGCAAGGCGGAGAGAAGCTTACATTGAGGGATAGAAGAGCTCTAAGGAGAACCGAAGTGGGTGGCTCCTTTCCACAGGCAGGTCATCCCTACGTCTGTGTGAGTCTGACTGAGTCCAGGGTTTCTACGGGCTCGGAAGGAGGAGTAAGTACACACCAATTGGTCCATGGGTAGCCAAGGGTGGGCCTGGAAAAAGCACCATATATTCTCACTCCAGGCCACGGACTCTACCCAGAACTGGCAGCCCAGCCACCCAAGCTTCAAGCTATCCCTGGCTTGAAGGTGGTGTTGCACCAGGGACCCTCCCTTTTGCATCCAGGAACCTGTCTGCCTCCGGCTGCCATTAACATGTCATCCACAGCGCCCAGGTGCAACCCTGACCATGCCTCCCCTGCTGGAGCCAGTGTCTTTGTAACGGCCTCTCTAGACAGGCTTCCGCTGCCATCAGCAGGAAATCCTGAACTGTCTATCACATGTTAGCATTTTATAGATGAGAATATTCCACAATTTTTAAAAACATGATTACCCATATCACAATCCCTTGTTTATTGCAAATGACCCAGACATCAAAGAACCATCAAAAATCATTTTAAGATTTTAAATTTAAATGAAAATTTAAATTTAAACAGAAAGTTCACCCACAAGCATGTATTCCATTTGTACGTACTCAATTCTTTTTCGTTTACAGTTTATCTAGATTACTTCTGAAAAATTGAGATATTAGACAAAGTTAGCCATCATTTCAAGTAATTGCTTTGTTAACCATTTTTATTTATAGCTTGTAAACATCAGGTGTTCACCTAAGTAAGAAACTGAAAGTTAAATGCATGGGTATTTTTGCCAATAACTCAGAAGATTTGGCTGTTTTTATTAAGCTAACAACATTAAATTAGTCTTATTTGTCACACAAACAAAGATAATTTTGTTTTGGCTGGGTTTATAGTTTGCTAACCTTCTATGCCAAACCCTTACATCTCAAAATACCTATCAGAGATAAAAATAAAACCCAGACAAAAATGTATACTGACATTGCTGAAGATATTTCTATTTTTATCTTACCTATAATTTTGAAGCTAGCTTGTTTATTAAAGATGTACTTAAGTCACATGAAATTGAAAATTGCTTTAACTTATTTACTTAATTTACCAGTGCTCTTTTATTTATAAGCCAATTTTGTAGGCATAACATATAATAAATGTACCTGCATATAAACACATCTAAACATGTATATAAACTCATAAACAATAGCTTTTACCTTGGAACTCTAGCCACGTGACAGCAGTACAAGCTCCCCAGCCTATGAACATGTTCTCAAAGCTAAACCTCGTTTACCTCATTACCCCAATAGATAATCCAATTGAGTCTATGAACCAAAATTTTGGGTAAAGCAGTTTCCATGACAGTTTTATTTTTAAAAGCGAAACTTCTCCAAACTCCAAAGAACACTGGATCCAAACAGCACCACAGAACAGCCTGTACTAACCAGGCCAAACCCTGCTTAGAACATAGCATAAAAACCTGAATACACTGAACTCCATCACAGTGTCTCATTCAATAGCAAAATGAGGCCTATGGAGAGGCCAAACTTCTCTAGATTCCAAAGAACATTCATGTCAAACAGTATTAGAAAAGAATATTCATTTATTGAATTGTAACTTCCTATGACTGTATTGACACATACCCAATCCCCAAAGCACAATCCAACTGCTGTAGTAAATAGGCCCCAAGGATGTCCAAACTGAAACAGTCAGGGCACTTTCTTCTCTTGATCAACTGGGCTTGTTCAATTTGCATATAAAAATTCCTTCAGAATTATTCAAATTGAGAGAAACAGAACCTGCTTTCTGGTACCCACAAATGATACTCACCGTTCTAGTCATGTACATTAAATATAAAAGGCTGTTCTTCCTACCCGATCAGGAATATATTTGGTGGCTGCAGTGATGGAGCCAAAGAGAGAGAGAGGCTGAAACCCACATCTGGCCAAAAAAGGGTTAGGCAAACTGCTTAGGACGACTTTAGAAACTCTCCTGGCCCATAGCAGCTAAGCCCTGAGTAAGGTGCTCCCAATCAGGGAACTAAAATCTATTAACAAAATGCTAGGGTTAAGTCTAGGTGCCGTTGCTCACTGCACAGAAAGCCAGTCACTGAGAGAATGAGTATTGTTGGGCAAGAAGGCTTTCATCGGGTGCTGCAGCCAAGGAGACAGCTGATCGATGTCAAATCCATCCCTTCAGCTGGCTAAAATTAGGGGTTTATATAGCAGAAAACAAATGTAACTGCATGTGGGAAAGCAAAAATTAGGGAGAGTTAAAGAAGAGGAGTTGTTCAACAGGAAGCTGGTGGTCAGTTACACAATCACAAAGGGTGAGGGGTCTGGCATCTCATTGTCCAGATGCAATGATTTGGTAAATTTCAGTTCCTTGATATTATCTGGGAGGCCTGATAGTTACTTTTCTGAGAAAAAACTCAGATAAGAGAAATACGTCTTTCTCAAATTTTAAGTCTGCGAAGGTCATTTCTCTGTTTATTTAAGAGAAACCATAACATCAGTTTTATGAGACAATTGGGCTGGTTTCTATTTTAGTATTCGCATCTGGCAGTTTTGTAGTTTTGTTTTGTTATTTTTTTAGTCTTACCATGTTAGTTGAATATTTCCATGTTTCTATCAGATTTGTTAAGGTTTATCACCTACTTTAAAGAGAAAAAACAGCACCAATTTGCCAAAAGACACAATGCTCTAAGGCTACGTGAGTCAAATTCTGTCTTCTTGTTATTGGTTCTAGCTCACATTTAAGTTGTTCTTTTCTGTTGTGCTTATTAGTATGCAGCTGCTTATTAGTCTTTACTTGAAAAAGTATATTTCATCAGTTGGAATAAGCTCAAATTAAATTCCAGGTTTGACAGTCATTGGCTTGCCTAATTCATGTGTAATTACGTAACCAATCCATGTGAAGGTTAAGAAGGGCTTTTTTTTCCATTTTGCTTCTCTTTTCTATCTCCACTTGTATACAGTCACAGCAGTAGTTTCACATGGTTGGAGGTAGAATGTGGAAAACAAGTTTAAAACTGGTTTATCATTATCTAAAAATGTGCAACATCTGAAAGTCAGAAAAAACTTCCAGAAAAGCACCTGCATTGGTTGGGTACTATGTTATCTTTGCTCTCTAGCCTTCAAGTGTTTGTTTATTGATAGAGATATTATGAATGAAAGTGGCTTTACTGTTTATTACTCCACCTACCTCTCTGGTTAGACTCTGACCTGAAGCTTAGCCTGCAAGTTTCTTCTCTTTTTGGATCTTCAATATGTGTTTGTCAATCCAATATTTTTTTTTCTTTTTAGCAGAAAGTTTGGTTTACAAACTAGCTGTCCACTAAAGTGAACTAGAAATGTTTCAACCAAAACTCTTTAGAGACAAAGACAATTTGCTAGAAGACTCAATGCTCATCAATACCCATCAACTATATGAAGTAGTCCTCCCTTAGGGGATGACAGAGTCTTTTAATAATGTATGTCTAAGAAAACATCTTTATTCATCATACAAGCTATTTTTAACATAGAAAAATATAATGCAAGAAACAGTTATGCCACTGGGTTTTCTATCTTCTAAACAATTCTAATTTTATAAAATCTGATGACTTTGAAAGCATGTGCCCCCAATCGTTTCTTTTCAGCTTTGAAATGCTCTCTTTTTATTCACATTCCATGATGATAACTCAATATTCAGTTTAAAGTATAATTTGCTAATAAGTACTAAAGTCAAGCCCACAATTGTTAGTAAGCTTTATTACTGAGGATGTTTTAAATGAAGTCAGAAGGGAAACAAATTAATGAATCTAATTGTTCTCCACTCCAGGCAGTAATGTTCAGAGGTTCACAAATCCAGCAAGATTTTCACAGATAGACTAAAAAAAAGGGACTTTTAAAACAGTCCCAAGTATGTTGCTTCTTGACATCTGAAGAACCCAGGGGACAATTTCAATTGCTAGAAGACCCTCTCATATTTCATTATCTAATAGAGTCTTAGTTTTCTTTTCTGTCAAGAGACTGATTTCATGCTTACAATTTTACAGCTTAAAATCCTTGCTAATGCCCATACTCATTTATTATAAAGTTTATTAAGATTAAGACACACATCCTCAAATCTTTTCTAATTTAGTTTTTATTAATTAACAACAAGATTAACCACAGGGCATATGAGAAGATGAATAGTATGCTACATTGCAGTATGTTCATTGCATAACCAAAAAGACCAGTTGAATTTGCTGATTTCAAAATGACCATGAGTTGAGTAGTGCCACTCCATAATACATCAGATAATAAATGTAAAACAAAAATTATAAACCTTCATTTTAGAATAAAGAAAATACTAATGCACTTCCTGCAATTTCTTTAAATGCCTGTTTGGCTACATCTAACATATATTAATTATGTAATATATAATTTATGAATGGTAAAATATTCTAATATTCTTAAAAGGAGAATCCAATACCGTATTGATTATAATATTATGTGTGTAATAAAGTACACAAGGGAAATGCAAAGTACATGATAAAAATAAAAGCATATAGATATAGAAATAGAGTTATGGGTACTATGCATAAATATTACAAAAGTTAGACATTAAATTTATTATAGGTCACAGAGATTTTAGTATGCAACAGATAATTTCATTTTTAAATGAATATTTTCTATATTTTTCAATTATTTTAGTATTTTTTATTTTTCAAATAAATTTTATAATTATTAAATATGTTATTATTAAACTAACCAACTAATTTTAAAAGCTTGTCTTGAAGCATGAATAGAGTTATTTTTTCTTAAACCATGGTCATTGAAGTTTTGAATTACCTATTTTATTCATGGTAATTACTTGTAATTTCTTAACACTTATTAAAATCTGCATTATTTTATGCACAACTGTAGATTTAGAATGAAAAAAGGAAGGAAAAGTATAGATTCTTATGTCAACCTAATAACAGCTCTAAATTTCTATATGCATTTAAAGTTGTATAGTAAACCTAGACTATTCACTGATTTATTTATTATTTTATTCATTTAACAACCATTATTGAGATTCTTAATGTGGGAACAACTAAATAAGGAGTGGGGACAAAATGTGAATAAGACACAATCCTAGCCTCCAATTCAGAAGTAGAAGTAATATAACAAGGGCAATCTGAAGTAAAAAGTTGGAGAGATTGGAATAGGGTATCATGAGAATTCTTAATTTAGAGAATTAAGAAGCAGAAGCTCTTTAGATTAATTAGATCTCGTTTGTCAATTTTGTCTTTTGTTGCCATTGCTTTTGGTGTTTTCGTCATGAAGTTGTTGCCCATGCCTATGTCCTGAATAATATTGCCTAGGTTTTCTTCTAGGGTTTTTATCATTTAAAGTCTTACGTTTAAGTCTTTAATCCATCTTGAGTTAATTTTTGTGTAGGATGTAAGGAAGGGATCCAGTTTCAACTTTCTGCATATGGCTAGCCAGTTTTCCAAACACCATTTATTAAATAGGAAATCCTTTCCTCATTGCTTGTTTTTTTCAGGTTTTTCAAAGATCAGATGTTTGTAGATGTGTAGTGTTATTTCTGAGGCCTCTGCTCTGTTCCATTGGTCTATATCTCTGTTTTGGTACCAGTACCATGCTGTTTTGGTTACTGTAGCCTTGTAAATATAGTTTGAAGTCAGGTAGCATGATGCCTCCAGCTTTGTTCTTTTTGCTTTGGACTGCCTTGGTTATGTGGGCTCCTTTTTGGTTCCATATGAAATTTAAAGTAGTTTTTTCCAATTCTGTGAAGAAAGTCAATGGTAGCTTGATGGGGATAGCATTGAATCTATAAATTACCTTGGGCAGTATGGCCATTTTCACGATATTGATTCTTCCTATGCATGAGCATGGAATTTTTTTTTATTTGTTTGTGTTCTCTCATATTTCCTTGAGCAGTGGTTTGTAGTTCTCCTTGAAGATGTCCTTCAAATCCCTAGTAAATTGTGTTCCTAGCTATTTTATTCTCTTTGTAGCAATAGTGAATAGGAGTTCACTCATGATTTGGCTCTCTGTTTGTCTGTTATTGGTGTATAGGAATGCTTGTGATTTTTGCACATTGATTTTGTATCCTGAGACTGCTGAAATTGCTTATCAGCTTAAGGCAACTGTGAGCTGAGAGAATGGGGTTTCCTAAATATAAAATCATGTCATCTGCAAACACAGACAATTTGACTACCTCTTTTCCTAATTGAATACCCTTTCTTTCTCTTGCCTGATTGCCCTGGCCAGAACTTCCAATACTATTTTGAATAGGAGTGGTGAGAGAGAACATCCTTGTCTTGTGCCAGTTTTCAAAGGGAATGCTCCCAGTTTTTGCCCATTCAGTACAATATTGGCTATGGATTTGTCATAAATAGCTCTTACTATTTTGAGATATGTTCCATCAATGCCTAGTTTATTCAGAGTTTTTAGCCTGAAGTCCTGTTGATTTTTTTGAATGTCTTTTCTTTTCTTTTTTTTTTATTATACTTTAAGTTTTAGGGTACATGTGCACATTGTGCAGGTTAGTTACATATGTATACATGTGCCATGCTGGTGCGCTGCACCCACTAACTCGTCATCTAGCATTAGGTATATCTCCCAATGCTATCCCTCCCCCCTCCCCCCACCCCACAACAGTCCCCAGAGTGTGATATTCCCCTTCCTGTGTCCATGTGATCTCATTGTTCAATTCCCACCTATGAGTGAGAATATGCTGTGTTTGGTTTTTTGTTCTTGTGATAGTTTACTGAGAATGATGATTTCTGCATCTATTGAGATAATCATGTGTTTTTTGTCATTGATTCTGTTTATGTGATGGATTACGTTTATTGATTTGTTATGTTGAACCAGCCTTGCATCCCAGGGTATTTTCAAACATGAAGTGGAGTTAGGGCTTTTAGAAGATAATTGGAACATAATAATGGGCTAATGTACATAAAATCTGAGTCATAATAATGGATAGTGAAAGATGAGAAAAAGAGAGAGCGAGAAAGAGGGAGATATTTAGAGAGGGTTGTATAACAGCAGAGAGCCAATCAATGGAAGAAAATTACCATATCTAGGTGGAAAGCTACTTCTTCAAGAGAAGCAGAGAAGATTAAGGAGTTTCCTTAAATATTTGTAGATATAAAGAAATCTAATCTGAATATGGAAATAAGAGTATGAATGACTTGTTGAAATTAATTTCCTGACATCTATGGCCATACCACACTCAACAGGCCCAATCTCGCCTGAAATTAATTCCCTGACTAGGGTGATATGAAAGTGGAAAAGAAAATGAGACAGGAATCCAGCAACAAAGACACAAAACAACCAAACAAAACAAAACTGCACTAAAATGGAATATGGAATAATCTCATTTATGAATTTATTTAAAATTATATAGGTATACATATTTAAATTTTTTTTTACCTTCTAGGGAGTAAAAGTCTAGATGAAAGATACTAAGAAATATTTAATGTAAAATCAAAAAGCTGAAAAAATTAAAGGAAATCAAATATTTATGCTAAATATTTTATAGTATCTTTTATCTGGAAGCTTATTTCCTGAAACACAATCAACTTGGGGTAATAATTTGGCAATCTGTAGATATGACATAATTTGTGTGTATATCTATGTTTCTTCAAAAGTATTTATTGGCCGAGCGTGGTGGCTTATGCCTGTAATCCTAGCACTTTGGGAGGCTGAAGCTGGCAGATCACTTGAGGTCATGTGTTCAAAACCAGGCTGGCCAACATGGTGAAAACCCCATCTCTACTAAAAATACAAAAATTAACCAGCTGTGGTGGCACACGACTATAATCTCAGCTACTCAGGAGGCTGAGGCAGGAGAATCACTTAAACCCAGGAGGCAGAGGTTGTAGTGAGCTGAGATTATGCTCCAGCCTCAGTGACAGAGCAAGCCTCCATCTCAAAAAACAAACAAAAAAAAATTAACATCATTAATTTTACTATTTTAGCTGTTAGTACTGAGAATAAAAATAAAGTTTAATTCTCAAATAAAGTCTGTATTTTCAAATATAATTTCACCTTGTTTTAAGAATCTCAAAGTTTTTTTTCTTATTCTCACTCATACATTCCTTTAATCACTGTATAATTATTTATTAAATAGCCACCAAGTTCAATGCTAGGGTTATAGAGGTGAAAAGCTATTTTTTTACAAGATTTAAATAGATATAAAAGCCAAATGAATTAGTATCATTCGTCTTAGTTTGGTTACAACAGAGATAAACCTAAGTTTTTAACTACTCAAGGAATGAAAGGCTTCCTTTCCATTAAGACAAAATAAAAAGGGGCCAAATTCTGTAACAGTCATTGTATATCAATATGACTTAAATTTTTTGTTGTTGCATACAGACAGTTTTAATTGACATGGCCTGTGTAGACAAGCATTTAATATGGAAGTTCTGGAACAACAGATGTGTGTCTAACTGCTTCCATAAAATGAAATGTTTTTATTTTGCTTCTGCCACTGAAGAGCACAGGAGATATCCTTCAGCAAAGGGCACCAGCTAAAAAACAATAAAAGAAGCTTTAAGCATTTATCTATGATTGGTGGTTGTTTTCTACCCTTAGACTTCATAAAGTCCACATTTATTACAGCAAAATATAAAAAGAAAGTTCAGCTATCATATGTGCATGTGAAAAATACATTTACAAATAAGTGGACAAAAAGTTGGTGTTGGAGACAGATATGTCTTGCTCTTTGGTATTTTTTTCTATTTCCTTTTTCAAATAATAAAGTATTTTTTTCTGATTCAGTAAGGGGAAAACTGCAGTGCTTCTTCATTAAGAAAGCTGCTCTCATTTACTCATTCAATCAACATTTTATTCAGCAAGTTCCTGGCTAACTGCAATCTAATAAGAAAGATACCTCTATAATACAATTAGTAAGGGAGATAGAATAAATATTTGTTTCTTTTCTCAGAGGTAATCCCTTATGACTCTTTTCTCCAATTGGTAACAAAATAAGTATTGCCTGTTATGTCATAGGGTCATATTGGCTGATGTTAACTTTGTCTTTGCAGGTGTGGTCACATTTATTACTTTTTAAGGACTGAAATTGAAGAGTCCAGGAAATTGTTAAATGTATGGTAGGCTCCAGCTCACCATCAGTGCTCAACTTCAAATGCAGCTCAACTCTTATGATTTATATATCTAGTAAGAAACTAGAAAAAAAGAAAACAAAGGTGGCATTTTCACCACGAAAGACACAGACTTTGCCTAAGGTCTAAGACATAGAGGACTCCTCTATACTTGGACAGTGTCAGTTTATGGGTCATATTCTTATAAATCTACCCCATAAAGGTAGAATCTATGCATATTAACTTCACCTTCCTGTAACTTATCATAGAAATGTTTATTTATATTAAACATTCTATAAACGTTTACTAAGTGATGAATTAATCCCTTTTAAAAATATTCAGGGTAATATACTGTGATCACCATGCTTATTTTAGACATGCCTTCCGTTTTTGCTCAGTCATTTCTTTTGGTACTGCAACTCATGAGGATCTATCTGCTTGTTTCCCATACAGTGAGACTATATAAATAGGGCCCTGTTTCCATCTATCCTGGACAACACATAGAACAGGCAAAGATGTCAAGAACTGACTCCCACTACATTCAGAGAAGTTCAGTGTTGGGTTTGATGGTTTTTAAAATGTTGGAAGATCACTAAACCTAGTGTTATTCAAAGTGACGTCTGCAGAACTATACTGATCTATGAATTGTTTGAAGTCTATGCACAAGAAAAGTACAGAAAATGAGAGTAACTCTTACATTGACATGTATGCTTATTTTGAGGGTGACTTTACACAGAGAGGAAAGATCTCTTTGCTTCTAAGATTGCAGTTATTAAGGAACCAGGCACCAGGAGTTATGTTGCTGCTATGTGGAAACAATATGTGTGACACGTAGGCAACTCAGATGAAAGCAGAAGAGGGATGAAAGGAGGGAGGGAGGAGAGAGAGAGAGAAAGAAAGAGAGGAGAAGAGAGAGGGGGAGGGGGAGAGAAAAGAGAGAGGAAAGGAGGGAGGGAGAGACTGAAAGAGAGAGAAGAAAGGAGGAAAGGAGGGAGGGAAAGGAAGAGTGAGGGAGAAACTGACTTATTTATATCTGAATTTAATTATATAATCTGAACGTCTGGACTTACCTACTGCTTTCTAAATGTCTGAGAATTCTAGATGTTTACTCAATCCAACATAGAAACAAAGTTACTTATGAGTCTACTTCTTGAGGTATCTAATAGTCTCACCACCCCTATTTGATTATTTCCTTAGTAGCATTTTCTTAACTTTCAACTAAGTGGGCCAAATCTACCTTTTGAGCCTCATTTTCATTCAGTTTAAACTTTTGGAATTTATTGTTGCCCCATGAATAACCCTTATATTTTAAGGCCTTATATTTTCCCCCCATGGTCTGTTTTGTTGGTTTTGTTTTCCTGCCTGTCCTTTTTTTTTCCTGACATTTCCCTTTCCTACTATATGTTGCATCACCTTATCTACCTAAAATGTGAGAAAACTATAGCCCTGCTATGTAAACATATGCTAGCATGGCTAATACATGATAAGGTGGAGTCATCCTGGACTCATTTCTATTCTTCATCCTGCCTTGTCATCACTCATCAAGCCCTGTCAAGTTTATCTCCTAAATATTTCTTGAAAGTATCCATGTCTCTTCCCCCACTTTCACTACTTCTCTTCCTCATCCTTCTCAGTTTCTAAGTTTAGCTCTTAGAAGCCCCAAGTTCAGCTCTTATGTTGCCCCAAACTTTTCTCCCTGCTGTCAGGTTTGTAGCCATCCATCTTCCCTCTGTGTAATGGCATTCCAAAGCCTTTCACTGGACAGCTGCGATTATTGTGACAAATTGTATCCTCAGCCCTTGGTACAGTCGGAGAGAGCCCTGAGATGGGATGGGGGAAAGGGATGAGCAAGCAGCCTTTTCTTTTTTTCTCAGGGTGTTATTTGAATTTTATTACTTTCAATGTGTACCATGATGGAAACATTTGGAAGAACTGCAAGAGTCACTGCAGGTTGTTACAAATGGACATTACATGGTAGGATTTGTGTGTGCAAATAAGAGCTTCTGTGATAAGATTTGTGTGTAAAAAATTCAAATTTTTAAATGTGATGTATAAGAGCTTACTTCTACAGTCTCATTTCTCACACTTCTTAACTTAGAATTTAATTTTGTATAAGTAACTTTTGTAATTCCCAATGTTTATATGTTGTCTCCTTACTCACTTTGTACCTTCTGTATGCAGTACTCTTCCTCATGTTCTTATAACATATTCGATCTAAGGGTCAGCTTTTTTAGCAAACTTGTTTTTCCTCTTTTCTCCCCCCAGTTAGATTAGGCAGACCTTCATTTTATTTCCATAGCACTGTGAGCATCTCTGTAATTTTGTCTTTTCATATTGTTTTAAAAGTTTCTTTGGGGAGTATTTTTTTGGTTTCTGATCTATGTAAATGTTTCAATAAACATTTATTAAAAGAATGACTGGTAAGTATATTCATATGTTTACTAAATAGCATTCTAAGGAGTATAAACTTCAGAGTTTCAATATCACAGACATATAATCTCAGATAAATTAAGTTGAAAATGGGGGAGGTGATTCCTGCTCCAAAATGTCCAACTAGTTGCAGCCAGGAGGAACATCTCCCACCAATGAACCAGGGCAACAGGAAGACTAGTGTGCTTTTAGCAGATCTTCAGAAGGAAGGAATTGAAAGTGGATGGAGGAAACATACAGAGGCTGGGCTGAAGTGGGAGGAAGCTGGGAACACTTCACAGGGCTACCACACATCAGGATTTATTCCTGGCCCCCAACAGTTCCTGTGGAGGGGGTGAGTTGAACAGGCAAGGAGCAAGCCACTCTCACCACAGGCCTCTGGAATCCCCTTGAGGTGATCACTCAATCATCAAGGAAACTTGAGTTGGCAGGGACAGTTGCTTAGAGAAGTCATAGGGGCAAAGCTCCAACCAGAGTGGAGCATAGATAATTTGGTGCAGAAGCATCTATAGTCGAGTATGGCCAGGGTCACTCATCCCCCTAGGCTCAACTTGCTTCTGTAGGAGACTTTAGCCCCAGCAGAACTGTCAGACCTGAACTCTTCAGGGTAGTCTAGCTCATGAGACAGGGAAAGACCCCTCAAGCAGCCTCTGATCTTCTGGCCTCTCTCGGGCTCCCAACCTGGCCATGCCTGCTTTCAGTACAGCCCCCTGGTATCTCCTGGGGGCCCAAATCATAGCTCCTGTGCTGACGGACCACCTGACCAGTAGAGTGGTCCAGCAGAGTGGCCCCCATGGACACTCACCAGCTCACTCATGCCCTACCTCAACTGCAGTCTCCTCCATGCTGCTTTGTTTGAAGGTACTCACCCACAGCCACCTCCTACATCACTTTGCCGGCATGTGTGTGCAGCAGGAGACCTGGCCTTCCCTTCTCCACCAGTATGTGTGTGCGCATACATCCTTCCATGTCACTGCTGCCTATCTGAGTGCATCACAGCCCCTCTTCCCACTGTACCTCCAATGTTGCCCAAGCATTGTCAGCAGGGAGCCTGTCAGTCCCACCCCAACCAGCACACTGACCCTGAACTGGGGCCATCTGCACAAAACTAGGCACAGAAAACCGTGGACCTGTCCCTAGTCCTGAACAACCACTATCGCCAAGTTGAACACACACAGAGGGTGCATGCAGTCCTGTACCAGCCAGCACCCTAACCCCATGCTAAACCACCACTGGTATAAACACATGCACAGTTGCCAGCAGGGGCCTCTGGTACCCATAAGATATCCTGCTCCCACTGCTGGTGTGAACATCTGCAAGGAGGCTGACACCCTGTCACCTGCTAGCACCCTGCTGCAGCTGCTGAGCATGCACTCCACCACACTGCCACTGCTGCCGCTCCTGGAACATGCAAACAAGAACAGATCCCACTACAACCATCCTATGAAGTGCTTTGGCTGGTAACAACTATCAGAGTGTTTTGACCAGAAGTCCGAGAGCACCTCAGCCCCAACAGTGCAGCACAATCCAAAACTTGAGGAGCCAGAGATCAAAGCTGGAGCCCAATACCAGTCCCCCAGAGTTAGAGCACATAATCCAGGAGTCCTGAGCTGAGCCTTGCCTGCCTGAAATCTTCCAGTAATGAAGCCAGTTGACTGAACTTACCTTATAATGCAATCAACCCCCCAAGGTCATCAACTAGGATAAAGGAAAAAAAAAAATCCAAAGGTCAATAACTTCAAATATTCAAGGAACATCAGGCCACAAAGATGAGAAAGAAACACTGCAAGAATTCTGACAACTCAAAAAGCCAGTGTCTTCTTTTCTGCAAATGACTGCACTAGTTTTTCAACAAGGATTCTTAACCCAGTTGAGGTGGCTGAAATAGAATTAAGACGATGGATAGCAATGAAAATTATTGAAAGTCAAGAGAGCATTAAAACCCAACCTAAGGAAGCTAAGACTCATAATAGAACAGTACAGGAGATGACAGACACAATAGTCAGTATAGAAAACAATGTAACCAACAGGATAGAGCAGAAAAATATTACACAAGAATTTCATAATGCAATCACAAGTATTAAGAGCAGAATACACCAAGCTAAGGAAAGAGCTTAAAGACTGGCTTTCTGAAATAAGACAGTCAGAGAAATGTAGAGAAAGAAGAATAAAAAGGAACAAACAAAACCTCCAAGAAATATGGGATTCTGTGAAGAACCAAATCTATGACTCATTGGCATCCTTGCTAAAAATGGGGAGAATGGAAATAACTTGGAAAACACATATCAGGATATCTTCCATGAGAACTCCCCAACCTAGGTAGCAAAACCAACATTCAAATTCAGAAATTCAGGGAACACCTGCAAAATACTTCACAAAAATGTCAAAAAGATTATCTCCAAGACACGTTATCATCAGATTCTCCAAGTTAAGAAAAAAAGAAAAAAGAAGTCAAAGACAGCTAGAGAGAAAGGACAGGTCACCTATGAAGGCAAGCCCATCAGACTAACAGCAGACCTCTCAGGACAAAGTCTACAAGCCAGGAGAGATTGGAGGCCTATAATCAACATTCTTAAAGAAAAGAAGGCTCAACCAAAAATTTAATATCTGGCCAAACTAATATTCATAAGCAAAGGAGAAATAAAATTATTTTCTTTTTTTGAGGAGGGGGTGCATATTATTTTAATCACCAAAGTAAAATTTAATGAGAAAATTTCAAACAAAAATTCAGGCAGAGTAATATAGTGAACCCACACATATACATCATTGGCTTCAAAAATAATGATCTCATGGCCAATCTTGTTTTATCTATATTGCCACACACTGCTCATGACTGAGTTATTTTGAAGCAAATCCCATACATCACATAATGTCAACCATAAATAATTCAATATTTTTCTGTAAAAGATAAGAAATCTTTAAAAACAGGCATATGATCATTGTCAGTTAAAATATCAACAATTTATTACCATCATATATCCAATATTCAAATTTCCAATAGTTTCAAAAATGTCATAATTTTTAAACAGCTTTATTGAGATATAATTCACATATAATTAACCCACTTAAAGTGTACAATTTAATAGCTTTTGGCATATTCATGGAGTTGTGCAACCCTTACCATAATCAATTTTAAAACATTTCTATCACCTCCAAAAGAAACCACTTACCTATTTGCAGTCATCCTTCCCTAATTATGCCATCCTTCTAGCCCTAGACAACTAACAATCTACTTTCTGTCTCTATAGACCTATTCATTCTGGGCATTTCACATAAATGGAATCATACAACATATTATCCTTTATGACTGACTTCTTTCACTCAATATAGTATTTTTAAGGTTAATTTATGTTGTAGCATAGATCAGTATTGTACATCATTTATTTTTTATTATTATTATACTTTAAGTTCTGGGGTACATGTGCAGAACATGCAGTTTTGTTACATAGGTATACACGTGCCATGGTGGTTTGCTGCACCCATCAACCCATCACCTACATTAGGTATTTCTCTTAATGCTATCCCTCCCCAGACCCCCACCCCCCAACATGCCCTGGTATGTGATATTCCCCTCCCTGTGTCCATGTGTTCTCATTGTTCAGCTCCCACTTATGAGTGAGAATGTGCAGTGTTTGGTCTTCTGTTCTTGTGTTAGTTTGCTGAGAACAATGGTTTCCAGCTTCATCCATGTCCCTGCAAAGGACATAAACTCATCCATTATTATGGCTGCATAGTATTCCATGGTGTATATGTGCCACATTTTCTTTATACAGTCTATGGACAAGCAAATGCTGAGGAAATTTATTACCACCAGACCTGCCATACTACAGCCTCTGATAGAAACTCTAAACGAGAAGGAATGACTATTAACCAGCCACCACAAAAATACACTTAAGAACACCAAACAGTAACATGAAAAAGCCACAACACAAACAAGTCGGAATAATAAAAAGCTAAAATGATGACAGGGTCAAATCCACACATATTGATACTAATTATGAATGTAAATGAGATAAATATGCCAACTAAAAGGCATAGAGTGGCAAGCTGGATAAAGAAGCAAGACCCAATGGTATGCTTTCTTCAAGAAACTCATCTCACATGCAATGACACCTAGAGGCACAAAATGAAGGAATGGGGAAAAATCTACCAAGGAAATGGAAAATAGAAAAAAGCAGAGGTTACAATCTTAATTTCAGACAAAACAGACTTTACACCAACAAATATTTAAAAAGACAAAGAGCATTACATGATGGTAATGGTGTCATTTCAACAAGAAGACCTAGCTATCCTAAATATATATTCACTCACCCAACACAGGAGCACCTAGATTCATAAAGCAAGTTCTTAGATACCTTCAAAGAAACTTAGACTCCATGAAATAATAGTTGGAGACTTCAACACATCACTGACAGTATTAGACAGATCACTGAAGCAGAAAATTAACAAAGATATTAAGGACCTGAACTCAACACTGGACTGAATGGATCTGATAGATATCTACAGAACTCCCCATCCAGAACCAACAGAATATACATTCTTCTCATCTACATGTGGCACATATTTTAAGTATGGTCACGCAATTTGACATAAAGCAATAAGCAAATGAAAACAAAATTATACCAAAAACTCTCTCAGAACACAGCACAATAAAAATAGAATTCAAGACTGAGAAAATTGCTCAAAACCATACAAATAAAAACAAATTAGACAACCTACTCCTGAATGACTTTTAGGTAAATAATGAGAAGGCAAAAATCCATTCATAGTTTGAAATTGATGAGAACAAAGACGCAGCATACCAGCATCTCTGTGACACATGTAAGGCAGTAGTAAGAGGGAAGACAGTAACACTAAATGTCCACATCAAAAAGTTAAAAGAGCTTAAATTAATGACCTACTCTCACACCTAAAGGCCTAGGTAAGCAAGAGCAAACTAACCCCAAAGCTAGCAGAAGACAAGAAATAACCCAAATCAGAGCTGAACTGAGGGAGATTGAGACATGAAAACCCATTTAAGTGATCAACAAAGCCAGGAGATGTTTTATGAAAAAAATGAAGGCTAGATGTACTACTGGTTAGAATAGTAAAGAACAAAAGAGAACAGATCCAAATAAACACAATCAGAAATGATGAAGGGGATCTTACCACTGACCTCACAGAAATACAAATAAACATCAGAAACTATTATGAACATCTCTATGAACACAAACCTGGAAATCTAGAAGAATTGAATAAATTCCAGGACACATACCTCTTTCATAGACTGAAGGAGGAAGACACTAAATCCCTGAGCTGACCAATAAGGAGCTCCAAAATTAAATCAGTAATATATAGCCTAACAATGGAAAAAAAAAAAAAAAAAGCCCTGGACCAGATGGATTCACAGCCAAATTCCATCAGATATACAAAGAAGGCTTGGTACCCTTCCTACTGAAATTATTTTAAATAATTGAGGAGGAAGGACTCCTCCCCACTTAATGACATGAGGCCAGTATCATCCTGATACCAAAACCTGGCAGAGACACAGCAAAAATGGAAAACTTTAAGCCAATACACTCGTGGAATGTTGACATAAAAATCCTAAACAAAATACCAGCAAACTTAATCCAGCTGTACATCAAAAAGCTAATCCACCACAATCAAGTAGGCATTATCCCTAGTGTGAAAGATTGGTTCAACATAGAAAAATCAATAACTGTGATTCATCACTTAAACAGAACTAAACACAAAAAACACATGATCATCTCACTCAATGTGGAAAATAATTTCTATAAATTCAACATCTCTTCATGTTAAAAACTCTCAACAAATTAGGTAAAATAAAGAATCATACCTCGAAATAATAAGAGCCATCTATGACAAGCCCACAGCCAGCATTTTACTGAGTGGACAAAAGCTGGAATAATTCCCCTTGAAAATAGGAGTAGTGAGACAGGACATCTTTGTCTGGAAACAAGACAAAGATGCCCTCTATCACTACTACTATTCAACATAGTACTGGAAGTACTGGCCAGAGCAACCAGGCAAGAGCATCTGTATTAATCTGTTGCATGCTGCTGATAAAGACATACCTGAGACTGGGCAATTTGCCAAAAGAAAAAAAAAGTTTATTGGACTTACAATTCCATGTGGCTGGGGAGGCCTCACAATTATGGCAGAAGGCAAAAAGCACTTCTCACACGGTGGCAGACAGGAGAAAAGAGCTTGTGCAGGAAAACTTCCCTTTTTAAAACCATCAGATCTCATGAGACTTATTCACTATCACAGGAACAGCACAGGAAAGATCTGCCCCCATGATTCAATTACCTCCCACCAGCTTCCTCCCATGACAAGTGGGAATTCAGAATGAGATTAGGGTGGGGACACAGCCAAACCATATCATTCCAACCCTGCTCCCTCCCAAATCTCATGTCCTCACATTTCAAAACCAATCACATCTTTCCCACAGTCCCCCAAAATCTTAACTCATTTCAGCATTAACTCAAAAGTCCACAGTCCAAAGTCTCACCTGAAACAAGGCAAGTCCCTGCCACCTATGAGACTGTAAAATCGAAAGCATGTTAATTACTTCCTAGATACAATGTGGGTCCCCGTATTGGGGAAATACAGCGATTCCAAATGGGATAAATTGGCCAAAACACTGGGTCTACAGGCCCCATGCAATTCCAAAATCTAGAGGGGCAGTCAAATCTTAAAGCTCCAATATGTTTTCCTTTGACTCCATGTCTCAAATCCAGGTCACACTGATGCAACATGTGGGCTCCCATGGCTTTGGGCAGCTCCACCTCTGTGGCTTTGCAGGGTACAGCCTCCCTCCTGGCTGCTTTCACAGGCTGGTGTTGATTGTTTGTGGCTCTTTCAGGTGCACAGTGCAAGCTGCCGGTGCATCTACCATTCTGGGGTCTGGAGGATCGTGGCCCTCTTCTCACAGCTCCACAAGGCAGTGCCCCAGTAGGGACTCTGTGTGTGGGCTCTGACCCCAAGTTGTACTTCAGCACTGCCCTAGCAGAGGTTCTCCATGAGGGCCCACCCCTGCAGCAAACTTCTGTCTGGGCATCCAGGCATTTCCATACAGCCTCTGAAATCTAGGTGGAGGTTCCCAAACCTCAATTCTTGACTTCAATGCACTTTCAGTCTCAACACCACCTGGAAGTTGCCAAGGCTTTGGGCTTCCACTGTATGAAACCATGGCCTGAGCTCTATGTTGGCCACTTTTAGCCATGGCCGGAGCAGCTAGGATGCAGGACACCAAGTCCCTAGGCTTCACACAGCACGGGGACCCTGGGCCCAGCCCACAAAACCATTTTTTCCTCCTATATCCCCAGGCCTCTGATGGGAAGGGCTGCTGTGAAGACCTCTGACATGCCCTGGAGACATTTTCCCCATTGCTTTGGGGATTAACATCTGGCTCCTCATTCCTTATGCAAATTTCTGCAGCCAGCTTCAATTTCTCCTCAGAAAATGGAATTTTCATTTGTATCACATTGTTAGATTTTAAATTGTCTGAACTTTTACGCTCTGCTTCCCTTATAAAACTGAATGCTTTTAACAGCACCCAAGTCAGCTCTTGAATGCTTTGCTCCTTAGAAATTTCTTCCATCAGATACCCTAAATCATCTCTCTCAAGTTCAAAGTTTCACAAATCTCTAGGGCAGGGGCAAAATGCCTCCAGTCTCTTTGCTAAACCAACACAAGAGTCACCTTTGCTCCAGTTCCCGACATGTTTCTCATCTCTATCGGAGACCACCTTAGCCTGGACTTTATTGTTAATATCATTATCAGCATTTTTGTCAAAACCATTCAACAAGTCTCTAAGAGGTTCCAAACTTTCCCACATTTTTCTGTCTTCTTCTGAGCCCTCCACACTGTTCCGACCTTTGCCTGTTACCCAGTTCCAAAGTCGCTTCCACATTTTTGGGTATCTTTTTAGCAGCACCTTACTTCTGGTACCAATTTACTCTATTAGTCCATTTTCATGCTGCTGATCAAGACATACTTGATACTAGGAAATTTACAAAAGAAAGAGATTTATTGGACTTATACTTCCACACAGCTGGGGAGGCCTCACAATCATGGCGGAAGGTGAAAGACCTGTCTCATATGGCAGCAAAGAAGAGAACAGAGATAGTGCAGGGAAACTCCCCTTTTTAAAGCCATCAAATTTGTGAGACTTATTTACTATCACAAGAACAGCATGAGAAAGACCTGCCCCCATGATTTAATTACTTCCCACCAGGTCCCTTCCACATCACATTGGAATTCAAGATGAGATTTGGCTAGGGCACTGCCAAACCATATCAGCATCAAATTGGAAGAGAGAAAGTCAAACTATCCCTGTTTGCAGGTGACCTGCTACTATATCTAGAAAACTCTAAAATCTCAGCCCCAAAGCTTCTTCAGCCGATAAACAACTTTAGGAGAGTTTCAGGATACAAAATCAGTGAACAAAAATCACGAGAATTCCTATACCTCAACAGTATCCAGGCCAGCCAAATCAGGAATGCAGTCTATTACCACAAAAAATAAAATATGTAAGAACACAGCTAACAAGGGAGATGAAATATCTCTACAATGAGAATTACAAAACACTGCTCAAAGAAATCAGAGATGACACAAATAGAAAAATATTCCATGCTCATGGATACGAAGAATCAATGTCATTAAAATGGTCACACTGCTCAAAGCAATTTAGAGATGTAATGCTGTCCCTATCAACCTTCCAATGGCATTCACAGAACTATCAAAACTATCAAAACCTATTTTAAAATTCATATGGAATCAAAAAAGAGCCCAAATAGCCAAGGCAATCCTAAGTTAAAAGAAAAAAGCAGGAGGCTTTATTCTACCCAACTTCAAACTATACTACTGGGTTACAGTATTTGAAAAAGAGTGGTACTCATATAAAAATAGACACATAGACCAATGGAAGAAAATAGCCCAGAAATGAAGCCACACAGCTACAACCATCTGATCATCAGCAAAAGTCAACAAAACATGCAACAGGGAAAGGATTCCCTATTCAATAAATGGTGCTGGGATAACCGGCTAGCCATATGCAGAAGATTGAAACTGGACCCCTTCCTTAAGCCATATATATATAAATATACTCAAGATGGGTTAAAGACTTAAAATAATACCCCAAACTATAAAAATCATGAAAGTCAATCTAGGCAATACCATTTTGGACTTAGGAACAAGCAAAGATTTTATGATAAAGATGCCAAAAGCAATTGCAATGAAAGCAAAAATTGGCAAGCGGGATCTAATTAAACTAAAGAGTTTCTGTACAGCAAAATGAACTACGAACAGAGTAAACAGACAACCTACAGAATGGAAGAAAATATCTGCAAAACTATGCATCTGACAAAGGTCTAATATCCACCATCTATAAGGAAACTAAACAAATCTGCAAGAGGAAAACAACCCCATTAAAAAGTGGGCAAAAGACATGACAGACATTTTTCAAAAGAAGACATAAATGTGACCAACAAGCACATATTTTTTAAAAGCTCACATCACTGATCATTAGAGAAATAAATCAAAACTACAATGAGATACCAAGTCAAATCAGTCATAATGGCTATTATTTCAAAATTCAAAAAATAACAGGTGCTACTGAGGTTGTGGAGAAAAGGGGACACTTATACACTGTGGGAGTGTAAATTACTTCAATCATTGTGGAAAGCAATGGGGAGATTCCTCAAAGAACTTAAAACAAGGACTACCTTTTGACCCAGCAATCCCATTACTGTGCATATACCCAAAGGAATATAAATTGTTCTATCATAAAGACACATGCATGCATTATGTTCATGGCAGCACCATTCACAACAGCAAAGACATGGAATCAACCTAAATGCCCATCAGTGGAAGACTGGATAAAGAAAGTGTGATACATGTACACCATGGAGTACTATGCAGCCATAAATAAGAATGAGATCATGTCCTTTGCAAGAGCATAGATGGAACTGGAGGCCATTATCATTAGCAAACTAATGCAGAAACAGAAAACCAAATACCACATGTTCTCTTATAAGTGGCAGCTAAATAATGAGAACGCATGGACACAAAGAGAAAAACAGACACTGGGGTCTACTGGAGAGGAGGGCAGGAAGAGGGAGAGGATCAGGAAAAATAACTAATGGGTACTAGGCTTAATACCTGGGTGACATAATAATCTTTACATGAAACCGCCATGGCACGAGTTTACCTATGTAACAAACCTGCACATGTACCCCTGAACCTAAAATCTATGTTTTTAGAAAAATAGCTTCAGGTAGCTCATCAGATTATACATAAACTACATCTTTTTCCAGTATTACTGTATATTGTTTTATGTCCATATTCTGTTAATTGGTTGCATAACACTAAGGTCCATTAGTATCTTTGCTTATTACACGTTCTCATTTCAGAGGTTTGCTTGGAGATGTAACTTTAATGCTTTAAGTATTCAAAATAATAAACAACATTTTCAGAACAATAGCACAATAAATGTTTGCAGAATTACTCAACTATAACCCATGCCTCTGAGAACTACCTGGGAAGCCACATTATACAACTTGAACAGATAATTCTGATTGGACCTGGATTAGACATTTAACCTTCCCTGAGGCAATCAATTTTACTCACTTTGAATTTGGAATCCAAATGAAAACTGATTATAACTTTGGGCTTTACTAAGATGGCTTAAAGTTTCCTTCAGTTTGACTAAAGTTTAGACTGGTTTAATCCATACTATAGGCCCCATCTTCCTGTTCTTTGAGGATTTACTTCAGAACACTTGTCCAAATGCTCTCTGCCTCTATGAAATGTGTATATATCTTCTACTAGCTCTCACCAGTTTAATAATTCAGAAACGTTCCTCTCTGAAGACCTGAGAGCCATCCGTTCAAAATGTAGTCATCAGGAAAAATAGTATTCCATACCCCAGTTGCTGTTGAGTAGGAGTAGGAACCTAACTTTAATGGACACCAATTAGCATATCCGAATAGCCTAATTACAGAGAACAAAACATTTGTAAACTTAAGAATGAGGCATTGTGCTTAATTTAATCCCGTAGAACTATCTCCCTGCTAACATCCTCCAGTGCTTTTCCACTAGCTCACCAGCAGCTACAAACCTCCTTTTCTTTCACTGGAGTTGAGTTCAATCTCTATTTCCTGTTACAATGGTTTTGAATAAGATATTCCTTGCCTGTTTAACTTTGTCCAATGCAATTTTTCTTCGAAACGCTTACAAGTGAATAGAGCACTTATACACACAGGATCCGATTGGTTATTATTTGGCATGGAGATAATAGAGAAAATGATTCTTCAGAAAGAAAAATGAAGCATATGCAAAAATAAATCAGTGATGTAAGTAATAAGCGGCCATGAGAGAAAGAGGAAGAGGAAGAGTCGTTGGTCTTCATTACTGGCAGTTTCCAAATATTGACTGCAGACCCTCAGGAGAGCTTCCTGCAATATAAATCTATAAGATATCCCTGTATTCCTGGTTTTTGTTTAGTTGTTTTCAAATGATTTTCTGTTAATTATAACCAAAATAATTTTGACTTAGAAAGTGGTTTATTTAACATGGGAACACGCCAACTCAAAGTGTTGACTATGTGTTAACATTTTTTGACTAGCATGCAAAATCAAGGACAGGAGTTACGGGAATATGAATGGCATTTTGTCAAAGATTTTCTCTAATATGCCTGCTTCATTTTGAGAAAATATGTATTTGGTAGAACATCTTGTCATCACCTCTAATTGATACTTCTATAATGTGGTAGTGATGGGAAGCATAATGTGACTGGAGAGTCGACAGTCCTTCTGTAGGAGTATGTCACTTTGCTTTTCCAGTGAATAACACTGACTCAAAGCAAAGATAATTTGAAAACCAGAAAAAAGGATGGGTGGATAAAATTGGAGATGGGGCAGAAACATTAGAAGCTCATGGCTTCTAAAAAAAAAAAAACAATTTAAGGGAGTGACAAAACAGTGTGTTTATTGTCTTTACCTACTGGAAATTTTAAGCCTTATCTACTTATAACCAAGATGGATAAGGACTTATGAAAAAGGCAAAAATGATTTAATGAAGAATAGGTAGGGAAGAAAATTAAAATAGCCAATAAGCATATTAAAATAAGGCAGAGAAGCTGAAAATTAACCATCTGGATATTCATGTACTCATGAAGTTTAAAAAAATTCAATAAAAGTAATGATAAAAATAAGAAAGTTTTCTTATATGTGTTGGATTATTAATCCTTTATCAGATAAATGGCTGGCAAATATCTTTATGATATTTTATTTATTTATTTATTTATTTATTTATTTATTTATTTATTTATTTATTTTCTGGGACAGAGTCTTGCTCTGTTGCCAGGCTGGAGTGCAGTGGCACAATCTTGGCTCACTGCAACCTCTGCCTTCTGGGTTCAAGTGATTCTTCTGCCTCAGCCTCCCTAGTAGCTGGGACTACAGGCGCTCACGACCACACCAGCTAATTTTTGTATTTTTAGTAGAGACGGGGTTTCACCACTTTGGCCAGGATGGTCTCAATCTCTTCACCTTGTGATCTGCCTGTCTCAGCCTCCCAAAGTGCTGGGATTACAGGTGTGAGCCACCGTGCCCAGTCTATATTTTAATGATCTTTTTCTGTTTAGACGATTTTTAGTTTGATGTTGTCCCATTTGTCTATTTTTGCTTTTGCTGCCTATGCTTTTGTTGTCATATCGAAAAAATCATTGCAAAACCAAAGTCCTTGGAAGACTTTCTGTATGTTTTTTTTCTAGGAGTTTCACATTTTCAGGTCATTCATTTAAGGATTGAGTCCATTTTGAGTTGGTTTTTTACTGGAGGGGGACAGAGTCTCCCTCTGTCGCCTGGGCTGGCGTGGAATGGCGTGATCTTGGCTCACTGCAACCTCTGCCTCCCGGGTTCACATGATTCTCCTGCCACAGCCTCCCGAGTAGCTGGGATTACAGGCATACACCACCACACTCTGCTAATTTTTGTACGTTTAGTAGAGACGGGGTTTCACTATGTTGGCCAGACTGGTCTTGAACTCCTGGCCTGGTGATCCATCTGCCTCAGCCTCCCAGAGTGCTGGGATAACAGGCGTGAGCCACCGCTCCCGGCCTTGAGTTGATTTTTGTATCTGCTATAAGATAAGAACTCAGTTTTATTCTTTTGCATGTAGATACTCAGTTTTCCCAACACTACCTATTGAAGAGACTGTCCTTTTTCCATTGTGTTTTCTTGGCATCTTTGTCAAAGATTAGTTTACCTTATGTGAATGTGTTTACTTCTAGCCTTTCTATTTTCTTCCATTGAATTATATGTCATTTTTATGCCGTTATCTTATTGTTATGATCATGTAGTATTAGTCAAATTATTGGTCAAGGTGTATAAAGTTTCACTCATGCAAGGTGAATAAGTCCTAAAAATCTATTGTACAGTATAGTGCCTACAGTTAGCAATTCTACATTACATACTTTAAAACTTGCTAAGTGGGTAGCTCTTATGTTAAGTATTCTTATCACATCAACAACAGTAATAATAATAAAGAAGGCTAGAGGAAATTTTGGAGGTGATGGGTGCATTTATGGCATTGACTGTGGTGATCATTTCATGGGTGTATTTATTTTACACCCATCTCCAAATTCATGAATGGCTATATGTTAAATATATGCAGCTTTTCATATTTCAATTATACCTCAATAAAGTGGCTTTAATATGAAGGTAAAAGCTAATGAAAAACACATATCATGGAGGGACTTAATAAAAGGTTTACAAATTAAAATAAAGAAGATGCAATTATACGTAAGATACACATTTTACTCGCCATGTTGGCAATTATAGAAATGAATATGCTTGATAATATCTAGTTTGGTGAGACATGCTGATTGGAGTGCAAACTGATTGGAGGCTTTTTTGAGGAAAATGTCATACTATTTTTTTTTTTTTTTTTTTTGAGACAGTCTCGCTCAGTCGCCCAGGCTGGAGTGCAGTGGCGTGATCTTGGCTCACTGCGAGCTCCGCCTCCCGGGTTCATGCCATTCTCCTGCCTCAGCCTCCCGAGTAGCTGGGACTACAGGTGCCCGCCACCATGCCTGGCTAATTTTTTTGTATTGTTAGTAGAGACGGGGTTTCTCCATGTTAGCCAGAATGGTCTTGATCTCCTGACCTCGTGATCTGCCCGCCTCGGCCTCCCAAAGTGCTGGGATTACAGGCGTGAGCCACCGCACCCAGCCAGAAAATGTCATACTATTTTTAAAATTTATATGCAAAACATTTGACTCAATAATTGCATTTCTGGTATGTGTTCCACAATAATACCACCTGTACACAAAATATGCAAAACTAAATTCACGTTAGTATTGTTTGTTACTAAAAAATATTTGGAATTACTCATATGTCTATCAATAGTACAATAATTGTCTTATCTAGAATTTCTACTCCACATGGTCTATGCACCATTAAAGCAAATTATCTTAATTATTATAAAATGAAAGAAATCTACATGAAGTGTCATGGAAAGATGTGGGAGCATATCATAAATTGCAGCATGTTGCAAATTAGCAAGTTATAGAACAATATGCTCAGTATTATTCCTTCATATAGAAAAATACATACATATGAACACCCATCAGGATGGAAACACAGGTATATGTGTAAGTATTTCTTTCACAATTTGTTTAAGTTAATAAAATAATACTCTCTCTATATATAAAACTGTTTACCAATAAATGTGGTCATCTAGATAAAATGGACAATTTAGTAAGATAATCTATATTTTAAAAAGTGACCTAAAATCAGGTAGAAAAATTGAGTAGGCCAATATTCATTGAATAAATTGAAAATATAATCACAGATTTAAAATCTTTCCAAAATAAAATTCTATCAAACTTCAAAAGACATTGCTTAAAGTATTTCAAAATATAGGAGGAAAAAAAAAGCCTACCAATCTCTATAATAACATAAACATGAGTATTACATCTACAATTAAAATAAGAAGAGACTGAACTCAAATACTAACATACACACAAAAAAACTTCTAAATAAAGTATTACCAATTTGAACCTAGAGTTATTTTTAAATAATGCTTTTTAAATGTATTATTTATCCCATAAATATAAAGGTGGCTTGATAGTAAAATAATTATTAGCAATATTTCACTAATTTAAGAGATTAAAAAAGACAATTTGATATCATCTTGGTAGGTACTATAAATAACAAATTGACAACAATTTTAATAACCACCCTTGATTAAAATAAAAACCTATAAGTCATGTAGCTATATTATAATATATATTTGCCATAAGCTTGTTATTTTTAGGTGTAATTTTCCAGTAGGTAAAAATCATGGTGCTCAGACAAATATAAAATAAATGCCAGTTAGAGATTTGTTTAATTTATTATTTAATGAGGAAAAAAGTAAGATATTGTGGCCAGTTTGGAGGGCATTATGAACTAAGCATGTATAAACAGCGCTAGAAAAAGATTGCTGGATTAGATACAATATTGATTTATGTATGACAGGGTCATAAACATTTAAGGGTTATCTGGTCTACCAGAGGAACATTATTTGCATCTTTACTAGATCAAAAAGTCTACTGGACCAAAAAGTCTTCAAGTTAACATGGAATCTGGGACATTAATAAATAATAAACTGTGAGACAAGCTAAGTACATTCCCCTAGATCATCACTGGGTAACTGTTGCTCCCATTTTGCATTAAAAGGATGTACTGCATGCTTTTATGCCTTAATTTGAAAATTTCAGATGAGTTTTCTGACAATATAGAGTATCTTCATGGGATTCCCAGAAATTACGTTTTCATTGTGTTTCATTGTGGCACACTGAAAACATTTGAGCTGATATCACAACCATTAATCTACCACTATCACTATTTCTCTGCAACTTTAGATTTTAAATTCCATGCTAGTTAGTTAGGTTAATGTTAGTTTTCATCACCTGCATGTATGCAATACCTTGGTACAACATCAAGAACTTTGTTGGGACTAAATACTTTTAATATAATATAACAGACTGTATGCTACATAAAAGAAGAGACTGGATCTCTTTCATCTGTTATTGAATATACAACATGAAGGATAGCTTTTTGCATAAAAAATGTGCTTCATAAATAAGTTGAAGGAAAGCATAAATTAAGGAATGAATTAATTTTTATCACTAATGCATTAAGAACTATTCTAACAGAGAGTAGATAAAATTAGACTGAAGCAGTAGTTTTTAGTTTAGAAAAAAATCTAGTGTTGAACAAGAAAGCAATGTGTAAAGATGAATATGAGAAATAATCTTTCATGAACTCATGTAGCAAGGAATGCAAGTGTCCTGGAAAGGAAGGGTCCAAACCAAGATCCAGGCAGGCTGGTGATAGCCACACTTAAAATTCTTAATTGCGCAAGAGAACAAAATATAAAAAAGCTGTAGCATGTAGTGTGGAATCCCTACTTAGCTTTAAAAATAATCAGGACTTTCTTGACCTCAGGCTTGCAAACTTCACTTAGCAAAACAAAGCCTCTGCAATTAGGCTCATCATTTTTAGATATTTCCTTCATTAAATGCCATCGTTACCTATCATCTGCTATTACTACAGCAGAGATACAAACAGAAAGCGATTTACTCTTCCTCCACTGTCCTCTCAAATGCAAATTGTGTACTATTTCTTCCTTGTGTCTTAAATAAAACTCCTAATTTGGGAAATATCTTTTGAAAAAATGAAAATTCTTCCACAATAGCTTTAGTCCTCAAAATAGTTATAGTCTAGCAATTAAAAATAAATTTCTATTGTGTATTTGTACCACATTTTCTTTATGCATTCATCCGTTGTTGGACACTGAGGCTGATTCCACACCCTGGCTCTTGTGAATAGTGCTACAATAAACATACAAGTGCAGATCTCTTCGACATACTGATTTCCTTTATTTTGGATACATCCCCAGCAGTGGGATTACTGGATCATATGGTAATTCTATTTCTAGTGTTTTGAGGACCCTCCATACTTCTAGGGAGACCCCCTGAAACTATGGCTATAGAATAAAAGATGAAATGCTCCTGATTATTGTAAATACAAAATTGCATGCAGGATTGTGTAAAGACAAGGCCAGGTTGGACTGCCAGAATGAGCCAACAGCGTGTGATGTGCTTCCCCCTGCAGAGAGCCTATGAATGGACATGCAGTCAGGGAGGTTTAACATCACCAAGATTCCTATCCCAGAAAAGCAGATGTTCATAGCTCTGGGAACTTGTGGAGAGCCTATAAACAGACACATGGTGGGGCACCTTTCCATATGGATAAGATAGGGCTATAAATGCCCTCACCTTGCCACGGCTCTTCTAGGCCTCTTTAGGGTTAAGGCATACTCCCTTCTGAGAATTCCTGGTCTAACCGGTTGTCTAGCTTCATGTCCTGTTTCTATGGATTGTTTGTAACCAGCTTTTGCTGCAACTGTTATTGCCAATTAATATCTTGCTAATCATAGGTTATGGAAAAATTGTGTTTCTGTTTTCAGGCTCTGTTAGAAATTACTGACACACACACTATATTGTAAATTCTTATCTCTGTATATGTACTTCTACATCCAAATGTACTGTACTTCTACATACAAATGTTATGTTAAAAAATTACTTCATGCCCATGTGACCATCTCACCTCATAATCAAATGACTCTAATCCCTCACTAACCTACCCCTGCCCTCACTAAACTTAATAATAAATGCTGGTATATCCAGTGCATTGTTGGCACCGTGGGACCAGAAGTTTGTGACCCCCCTGGACCCAGCTTTCACTATCTTGTGTGTGTCTATTATTTCTCAACCTGCCGATCCACCTGGGAACAAAGAGAGAGCCCCGTTGCATTGAGGGCTGCTGGCCAGATCCCGCAGTACATACTGTTCTCCATAGTGGTTGTACTAATTTACATTTCCCCCAACGATGTACAAGGAAGGGTTCCTCTTTCTCCACATCCTTGCTGTCAATTGTTAGTGCCTGTCTTTTGGATAAAAGCCATTTTAACTTGGGTGAGATGATATCTCATTGTAGTTTTGATTTCCATTTATCTGATGATTAGAGATGTTGAACATTTCTTCATATACCTGTTGGCCATTTGTATATCTTCTTTTGATAAATGTCTATTCTGATCTTTTGCCCATTTTTAATTGGATTATTTGATTATTTTCTATTGAGTTGTTAGAGGTCCTTGTATCTTGGTTATTAATCCCTTGTCAGATGAGTAGCTTACAAATATTTATCCCATTTTGTGGGTTGTCTCTTTACTGTTGATTGTTACCTTTGCTGTGCAGAAGCTTTTTAACTTGATGTGATCCCATTTGTCCATTCTTGCTTTGGTTGCCTGTGCTTTTGAGATACTACTCAAGAAAACTTTGCCCAGACCAATGTCCAGTGCTTTTTTCTGGTAGCTTCAATGGACTATCATGTAAGCATTAGAAATCCTGTCATTTGTAATGACATGGATGGAACTGGAGGACATTGTGTTAAGTGAAATAACCCAGTTACAGAAAGACAAATTTCACATATTCTCACTAATATTTGGGAGCTAAAAGAAAATGAACTCATGGGGATATAGAGTAGATTGATGGGTACTAGAAGTCTGGGAAGCATAGCAGTGAGGGAAGGATAATGTAAGAAGGGTTAAAGGAGACAAACACACAGAATGAATAAGATCTGGTATTTGGTAGACCAATAGGGTGGGTTTAGTTCACAATTGTTTATTGTGTGAATATATGTTAAAATAACTAAAAGAGTGAAATTGGAATGTTCCTAACAAAAAATAATAAGTACATGAGGTGATGGATGCTACAATTACCCTCATTTGATCATTACCCAATGTATGTCTGTATCAATGTATCACATGTACCACACACAAATATACAACTATTATGTACCCATAATGATTTAAACTTATTTTTAAGTTAATTAATTAATTCATAAGTTTCTAAAACCTTCTTCTCCTCCAGCTTGGTTCTGCTTCAGGCTAAGAGGACTACATTGACATGACAAGGTCTGCTGACCTCCATTTCTCCATTTATCTGACTTGAGCATTTCTTCCTTTTTCTTTTTTTTTTTTTTTTTTTTTTTGAGACAGAGTCTCACTCTGTTGCCCAGGCTGGAGTGCAGTGGCATGGAAGGTGGTCTTTTTTTAAACGGGTGCTTTCTAAGCCCTTTGGAGATAAGACTTTCTCCATCCCTAGACGCTACTCATAAGCAAAGTTTTTAATACCAGTGATGCTTGATCTGGTGGGGTCCTTAAGACCTGCCTCCACTCCCAAACACAACCCAGATTACAGTTTTGGGCACAGTCCCTCCCTCCTTCCCTCTCTCTCCTTCCTTCCTTCCTTTCTTTCTTTTCCTTTCCTTTCCTTTCTCCTTCCTTCCTTCCTTTTGTTCCTTCCTTCCTTCCTCTCTCCCTCTCTCTTTCTCTCTTTCTCTCTTTCTTTCTTTCTTTCTTTTTTGTTTCACTCCTGTTGACCCGGCTAGAGTGCAATGGTGCAATCTCAGCTCACTGCCACCTCCACCTCCCAGGTTCAAGAGATTCTCCTGCCTCAGCCTCCCTAGTAGCTGGGATTACAGACACCCACCACCATGCCCAGCTAATTTTTTTTTTTTTTTGTATTTTTAGTAGATATGGGATTTCACCATGTTGGCCAGGCTGGTCTTGAACTCCTGACCTCAGGTGATCCACCCACCTCGGCCTCCCAAAGTGTTGGGATTACAGTGTGAGCCACTGCACCTAGTCAGGCATAGTCCCTTTCAAAAAGACTGAATACAAACCCTTGTATCAAAGATTCTAATCTGATTCCTGAGAAACATATTTCCTTAGGTCTTAAAAGTGCAGGTTTACCTCTTGTGGTCACCCTTTCTCACATGGCCATCAGAGCAGCTGGCTGTAAGGGTGCCTTTCATAAATGTTCTTCTCAGACATGACTAATTGCCGATGCCACTGACTCTTCAAATTCAAGAGACAAATACTAATTTTTTCAAGGACAGATTCTTTTAAAAGTCTGTCAACTAAACCTGATGCGTAAAGAAAGCCTCTCTCCCTAATTGAGATTAAAATTCCACATAAATCTAACAACTTTATTCAAACAAATTGTGATTCCTGACTTCTCTAATTCAGCTCTTCTATAATCATAAGAGTATTGTTACACTAAGCTAGGATTTTCAACATCAGCACTAAGGATATTTTGGATTGAATAATTATTTGTTATGTAGGGTGGTCCTGAACATTACAGAATGCTTAACATATTGCTGGTTTTTATACTCTAGATGTGAGTAGCATCTTTTCCACACCACCCAAGCCATAAATATCTCCAGATATTGCCAACACTCCTTAGGGGGCAAAAATGCTTTTGGTTGAGAACCACCGGGCTAAGGGACTACTTGAGAGTCACCTACTTTACATGGCACACATCCAAGGCCATGCCTTGGATTTGATTTAGAATGTGGCATAAGTGCAACTGAACATTTCATCCCCTGCTCTTTTGTTTCCATAAAGACAAACTGTGAGAGTCCCATCTTAATATCCTCCTACTGCTGATAAACACATTTCCTTTATCCACTTATATTTCTAGTGATGTTTTAGCAGCCCAGCAATATTTTTGTGCTCTCCAAAGATTGTTACTGTAGGCAACTGCCCTATTGGCTTGCACCTAATGCTACTCAGCCAGCAACCACTGGCCACAGACATATGCCTTCAGAAGCTGGAGCAGTCATGGACTAAAGCCCAAGGATTGTTCAGTTTGGAAAAAAAAAAAAAACAGTATTTCTTTGAAGTTATGATTTCTAAAAAGCTCTGCAATCTGGGCCATCCCCAGGGAGAATAAATGCTTTGTTCCTTATGTAGCACCCTCAAACTGTAGGCCTATTCTTATAAATACACTTACATCTAGCCCAGTCATACATTAAGCAATAACTATGGCATGAGAAAAACAAATTTGAGAATATCAGGAAATAAATATTCCATGCCTGGGCTGTACTGTAAAGTTTTTTATTTAGACTTGTTCCTACCAGATTCAGAACGAATAAGTTGGGTGGGTGTGAGGGATGGCTAGAGGAGGTTATTGTATTATACTGCAATAGTACTAACATAGATATAGATATAGATATAGATATAAATATAGATATATAGAGATAGATATCTTACTACCTAAGTATGTTCACATATCTAAGATCCATATGCATTTTATTCTAAAGTATCAAACAATATGATGTATATGACACTGACATTGATTGTGGGGATTTATCAGAGTTTGTGTGCAAAGAATTTGAGCTTTCAAACCCCAAGGCTGAGAAAAGATAATAGTTTCTTAAAAGCTTATCTAGGTAAAACTCATGTTGTATTTTAATATATTCAAAGAATTCAAGTCTTATTAGACTTTTAAGAATAAAACTCTTTTTTAAATCTTTTAATAGCTTTTGTTTTAATGGAATCTGATCAGCATTTGTTGATCCGAATCCTCATCCATTATTTTAGATCATAATCTTGCTAATCTTTTAGACTATTTTCAAACAATAGCAAAATAATAACTCTTATACAAACACAAGATAAACATATGTCAAAGATGCTATGTCAATAACGAATGAGGAAGCCAGGCATGGTGGCTCATGCCTGTAGTCTCAACTATCAGGAGGCTAAGGCTGAGCCCAGAAGGCAGAGGCTACAATGAGCCGTGACTGTACCACCACCCACCAGCCTGGGCTACAGAGTGAGATCCTGTCTCAAAAAAAATGAAATAAAATAAAAGTAAAAAAATAAAAAAGAAGCTCCTTCCAAATAATAATAAAATAAGGGTGGAAACCATTACAACCATTTCAAAAGAGAATTTCAAGAAGCACACGTACCTATGAAATAAGAAATTCTGGATTAAGAAAATATGGCACATATACACCATGGAATACTATGCAGTCATAAAAAATGATGAGTTCATGTCCTTTGTAGGGACATGGATGAAGTTGGAAACCATCATTCTCAGCAAACTATCACAAGGACAAAAAACCAAACACCGCATGTTCTCACTCACAGGTGGGAATTGAACAATGAGAACACATGGACACAGGAAGGGGAACATCACACACCGGGGCCTGTTTTGGGGTGGCGGCGGGGAGGGATAGCATTAGGAGATATACCTAATGTTAAATGATGAGTTACTGGGTTCAGCACACCAACATGGCACATGTATGCATATTGTAACTAACCTGCACGTTGTGCACATGTACCCTAAAACTTAAAGTATAATAATAAAAAAAGAAATTCTGAAAATGAATTTACAAAGTTTTTTAAAGGCCCATCTACAGGACAATAATCAATTTCATTCCTTAGGTACAATTAATTGGGATTTATAGAAAAAAATCATTTGCATTTTTTTACAGTTTACTTGGTTTCAAAATAGCTCAAAGACAATCAAAGATGTAAATAACCTGAATGAGTAATCTAGACAACACACCCATTATTTTTTTCCTCATTTTAAAGGCTCCCCAAATTTTTCTTGATGTTTTCTAAGGCCAAGACTGTATTTGGAGTTTCACATTAATTATTTATTAAAGTTTCTAAATTTTTATGTTGATATTTCTAAATATAAGAAACAAGGGGCCAGGCGTGGTGGCTCATGCCTGTAATCCCAGCACTTTGGGAGGCTGAGGCGGGTGGATCACCTGAGGTCAGGAGTTCAAGACCAGGCTGACCATGGTGAAACCCTGTCTCTACTAAAAATACAAAAAAATTAGCCAGGTGTGCTGGCTGGCTCCTGTAGTCCCAGCTACTGGGGAGGCTGAGGCAGGAGAATTGCTTGAACCCGGGAGCAGGAGGTTAAAAAAAAAAAAAGAAAGAACAGAAAAGAAAAGAAGAAAGAAGGTTCATTTAATCTCATTGGCCCTTATGGAAAAATAATATCAATTACTCTATATAAATTTTAATATATTCTTGTGCATTATTTTACTAAGGAATTCCCTACCAGAACATTATAGTAAGCTATTTATTAATTGTAAGTGTAATTGTAACATAAAATTTGAATAAAAGTGAAATATTAACAATGTTTAAAATGTTCTAACAGATTAACAAATACAACAATAAGTTCTTTACACTAGTGATAATATAGCAAAATTTAATATTTTTACATTTGAGGGGATAACAATTTTTAAGAAAAATTTGAATTTTAAAAATATTAATAGATGTCATAATCAGCTTATATAAATATTTTTTAAACTGATAGAAATAAATATAAGCAACTATGTAATATTTTAAAAACTGAGGCTGCATATGTATGAGGGTTTATGTGTCTCCTGAAGAGAACAGGAATCTGAGCTTCAGTAACTGCTTCCAGTGTTTCATTCTTTCCTGCAAAACTCTGAATATTAACAGAAATGCAAAAAAGTGGCTTTATGTCTCACTATGAAGAATACAGTGATGTCAAGATGTCAGATCCTCAGATCAGATTTTATATGTATACATTAAACAGCGAAACAAGTTCAGATTGACATTAGCCTGAAGTAAAATTTATCTCATGGCATCCCTTGTCCAGATCAGCCCTGGACCAGTTGTACATCAATATGTGCAATGAGGGCACCCCCTAGTGGTTAGATACTAAAGCAGCTTTTCAACTGACACTTCATGTATATAAAGACAAAAACAGTAATTTAAGAGAAAAACTATCAAAATAGATGCACTATGCAGAGTGATACATTTTAAAATAAGAATAGAAGTAAAAAGAAGAAAAGTCTTCTCAGCGTCCCCACTGTCCTCATTCCCCAAGCTGTTCCCACTAGCTGGGTGCCCAGAGGTGGTCCCCATCTAGAGATTTTTTTATTTGTCTTTCTTTTTGTTTTGTGTTTTTGGTTTTCCCCAGTGGTCACAGTTATCCTACACTCATACGTTATCTTTGATGTCCTCAACTTTATGCAGCATTCAATTCCTGATGTGAAATCTTTGGTTTAAAAGAAACAAAAATCTTTGCGTATGGAGTGTTTTTTTCTTGCTAGAGCTATTGTTATTTAAAAAAATATGTTTCCTGCTCTAAGTTTGCTGTAGATTCTTACAAAGTTCTTTTCTGTTTCTTGAAAGAGAGGATCAGATTCATTAAGAATCATATTCCAGTACTCACTTTTTAAGATACATTATGTACAGGGAAAGGGACAGACAACACCATCTAGGGTTCTACTGCTGTTCTTAAATGTTAAAATAAGAAAGACCACCCTCTGTATCTATTGTCTATTGTCTCCAAATGGGTGGTATCTTGACATTTTCCCTGTAAAGGCTCATAACTGCTTTGAGCGTCTTCTGTGATAATGTGCCATTCAATGTGTGTGTACGTCTGCGCATCAATATATTACCATTTGCTTCCTACCATTCAAAATTACCTGGAACTTATATTTATTTCCAGTGTTCTTCGTTTTATTTTCCTAATTTTAACTGGAAGTTTGAACCAAAAGCTAGGGCAATACAAACACAGCACACTTTTTAAAATGAATTACTTTTTCTGTCAAATTTGACATTGAGGAATTAATAGTCTTATTTAAATCAAAAGTTTAGATGTCACAGTTAAAATGATCTAGTCTATGTTTTTATATCTTGATTAGTAAATTAAACATCAATTATCTTTATTCTGAAAATAATTTTTAAATGATTATACGAACATGTGATTCAAAGGGCTTTCATGTAGGAGAAATAAGATTATCCCTAAAGAGCCTAGCTGAGTAGCAAAGACATAATGAATGTTTATCACATACGATTTTTCTTCATACACTTTTAGTTGTGTTTTCTTTAATCAGCTCTTCATACCATTTCAATTTTGTAATATGAGTCATTTGACAGAAGAAAAGTACGTGACATATGGGAAGTTGGATTGGAAAGAAAAATAGGTCTTAAAAAATTGTGGTGAAAATATCCTGCTTTTGCACATTTTTCAAAGACTCTTGGCCATGAGAACATGTTGATAGGGAATCTCTTAGGGTCAAGATGAGTGAGGGTGATCTGAAGCATTATGTTCAGTTCTTTAATTATAAATACATGCCTACTGATCTGGTTCATAAGATAGGAGAAAATTTGGTAAACGTATATTGTTCCATGCATGCTACTGATTATACAAGTTATAAAATTAGCATTAGTTGCTGTGTCCTTAAAAATACTTGGATAAAGGTAGCAATAAAAGATAAGATTAATAACATGAATAATAAATATTTTATTATTCAATGTGTAAAAATTGATAGATAATAGTTGCATTCATTATTGCTGACCTCCTTCACCTTATATATGTTTGAGATAAAAGATCACTTAGTAAAAATCATTTCAACAAAATCTCACAATAGTTATCCTATGTGGTCATTTACAAACTTCCAAATGGAAGACTCAGGCAAAACATAAAGCAAAAATTATCTCAAGTAATCTTACAAGAAGGCTATTGAATTTTGATGTTTTGCTTAAAAATCATGTTCAAGAACCTTGTCCTTAAGCACTTCATCAAATCAAGAAAATGGAGACAATTTCATCACTAATTTTTAGCAGTTTTCAGTCAATACTTGAGGTATATAGTAATGAGCTATAATCTTTGTGTTTGACTCTTGAAGCTTCAGGTTCTTTGATGTTTCCAAGTCTTCCAACACAGCTAGTGTGTTTGTCTAGTTCTCTTGGAAGTTGTCCTTTATTTTAAAAATCATTTTAGTAAGTCAGTTAATATTATTCTGTTCCTACATAATTGAAACAGTCAGGTTTTTCTCCTTACCCCACCCTGGTGTTCTAAAAATAGGGCAATTGCATATGCTAGCTTATTTCTTTTTTTAAAACCAATCAACTTCAGTATGTAATAAAAATATTTCTATTTGAATTACAATAGTTAAAAAAAACAAAGCAAATGGTTCAGTATTTAATATTATTTTCCTCCAATGTAATTGTGCTATTTTATTGTAAGGTTCAGGTTTTCTATTAGACATTATGATAAGTGCAATTTTGAAAACCAAAGCTTGGTGGTAAATAACAAATTTCATGCTAGAAACAGGTAATTTTTTCTGTATTTTTATTTTAATAAAAATGTCAACCACCAATCCAGCATTTCTGGAGTATAATTAGTGTTCAATACCATACACCTCCCCCTAGACCCCAATTATGATTGTTTGCTCCAAAGAATTTGCCAGTTTTCATGGTAATCTCCTGCAATTGTAAAATAATGTCAATTTTTCAATAACATATCTAACCATATAATCATAATAAAAAAGGAACTAAAGGAAATGATTTTATGACCAATTCATTACAAATCCAGCAATAAAATCTAAACTATAAAATGTGATGATTTTATATATTAAAAACCTTGAAATCTGAAATCCTTACTGAAGTTATCAATGTGTATTTGATGATATCCATAATCATTCTTGATTCTTTTTAAAGTGAGTATTTAACAGCATCAGGAATGAAAGATTTCACGAAAGTTTCTCAAGTGATAAGTTTTTCTGTTTTTTTTTTGTTGTTGTTTGTTTGTTTGTTTTTGTTTTTGAGAAAGAGTTTTGCTCTTGTTACCCAGGCTAGAGTGCAAGCTCACCGCAACCTCTGCCTCCCGGGGTCAAGCAGTTCTCCTGCCTCAGCCTCCCGAGCAGCTGGGATTACAGGCATGGACCACCATGCCTGGCTAATTTTATATTTTTACAAATACTGAAAAAATTTTGTATTTTTACAACATACTGAAGTTGATTGGTTTTAAAAAAAAGAAATAAGCTAGCATATGCAATTGCCCTATTTTTAGAACACCAAGGTGGGGTAAGGAGAAAAACCTGACTGTTTCAATTATGTAGGTACAGAATAATATTAACTGACTTATTAAAATTATTTTTAAAATAAAGGACAATTTCCAAGAGAACTAGGCAAACACACTAGCTGTGTTGGAAGACTTGGAAACATCAAAGAACCTGGAGACACGGGGTTTCTCCATGTTGTTCAGGCTGGTCTCGAACTCCCTACCTCAGGTGATCTGCCCTCCTCAGCCTCCCAAAGTGCTGGGATTACAGGCATGAGCCACCATGCCCAGCCTGGTGATAAGTTTTAAAGGTTTTGTTTGTATTGGTCTTAACAATGAAAAAAATAATGTATTTTTTCCAGTTTTTTCTCTAAATCTTGATAATGTGTTCCGATTTATTTTCATATACTTTAGGAATTCACTCCATGATTTTAAAAGTCTATGAATCTTTTTTTCTCCACATTTAAATAAACATTACATAATTTGACTTAACTTTGATCAGGTCCAAAGGTTCATGTGGTATCATCATCATGTAGTAGTTGCAAAAGGCTATATAAGTAAACTTAGACATGCTATTTGAAATATGTGTAAATGTATCATTACTCAATTCTTAGGTGAACATTTGATTTATTCTCTATAGTTTCATATAAGGTGATGAATTAACTTTCCCTGAAATACACGGTTTATGGTTTTATATTTTATGCTGCTGGACTCCCAGTAGAGTGTAATGTTTGAACACACATTTCCATGAACTTGTTTTCTAAGGTAAACACTTAAAATTCCAAGACAAAGAAAATGCCTAGTTAAAATTTGGGATTACATTTGAAGGTATAAAAATAGGTTTTTGGAAATGGTAATCAACACGTCCCTTCTCTTCTTAGAGACTCTTTCTCTCACAATAACCCATGTTTGTCTCTACATCCTTTGTAGTTCAGCCTTCATAGTTTTCCTGGCCTGGATATCTGCCTCAGCACTTCATTATATCTGAATGAGCAACATAAATCCAGTCCCCAAAGCACTGTTGAGTAAGTAGCTCCTTGATAATAGAGGTGAGTGTAACATTAAAACCCACAGCACAAAAGTGAATCAAAGTTCTATAAAGGTGTCTGTTTTCTCTTTTTCCCACCTTATATTCATCTTTCTCTATTTCAAAGAGTTACCTACCCTTATCTCCAACCTCCCTGTAATCTACAGCTCCCTGCAGCTTGCTACACCTTTCCCCAGCTTCCAGGGTCTCTTATTTTCCCAATCCCATTTCTTATGTAAAATGAGTTAATTCTGTTAAAATGTCTCTAATTTGCATAGTTGCAGACATCACTACTTTGCATGATTAGGACCTTTCAGTTCTCCCTTTTTTTTTTAGGAATAAAAAGGATTCTAACAATGCCCAGTGTTTGCACTAGTACACATTCTTTAGTCTGCCTCATACCAAAGAATATCAATTATAAGCGGGTGTCACGCCCCGGAAAACAATATTTTCTTACTAGTATTGACCAGTCCACACTGAGGAGAATCCATCACACTAAGTCATAAGATAACATTATCTATCCTAAGAGCAATTATCATATCACAGTGGGACTAAGACTTGGACCTACATATTTGACCTCTTAGAGCAATTGAGTTTGGTCTTCCTAGATTCTATTCCCTTCTTTTTCCTTTATGGCTGGCTTTACACAGAATCTGTTTCACATTCTCTATCACTGATGTGTTTGGATTCCTTGAGCATCAACTTTTTCCAGAACGCCTGGATACATTTTATTCTTTCCCTCTTGAGTAATGTACATTGCTGGACTACATTGGCCAGACTTCAGCTGGCTGGTTCTGACTATATATTTCAGCACATTTCAGCATCAGCAATTTTGCATAACAATGTGGCTAGAAAGACCTGAGAAGTAGCTCACCACCCAAGGTAAAAAATATTTACCTAAAGGTTATAAATTTCAAAACATGTGTAGTCTTCTAAAATGAAAAATGCTTAAGCCATTAGGATATGGTTTGGCTGTGTCTCCACCAAAATCTCATTCTGAATTGTAACTCCCACAATTCCCATATGTCATAGGAGGAAACCAGTGGGAGGCAATTGAATTATGGGGGTGGGTCTTTCCTGCACTGTTTTCATGATGGTGAATAACTTTCACAAGATCTGATGGTTTTAAAAAGGGAAGTTTCCCTGAACAAGCTCTCTTCTCTTGTCTGCTGCCATGTGAGACCTGCCTTTCCCCTTCTGCTCTGATTGTGAGGCCTCCCCAGCCATGTGGAAATGTAAGTCCATCAAACCTCTTTCTTTTGTAAATTGCCCAGTCTCGGGTATGTCTTTATCAGCAGTGTGAAATGGACTAATACACCATATATGCTTCGGTCATTTATCATTGGTAAAATAGAGTGTCTCACATCTGGTTCCCAGGCCATAGTTTTCTCGTCTTAAGCTATAGTAGTGCATTGAATAATCTTTGATGTATCTTTCAGCTATAAAATGTGATATTTTCATTTTGCTGGGCTGTGCTTCACTCTGTATATCTCACCATCCAGCCCACTCTGTATATCTCACCATCCAATCGTTACCTGTCTTTTTGACACAGAAGACTGGCATTTGCTCTACGTAGCTTCATGTTCAAGGAAAAAGGGAGGGTGGTGTGAAAAAGAGAGTGGTTGAGATTTTCAGTTTTTCTGTGACAAGCTTTTCCCAGACAGAATGAAGCCATTTCATGATTTTCCCCATGTCTATACCTGTCCAGCTCCATGCCTTTTGAAGCTGTATTTCAATTTCATAATAGGATCAAATTCTTTACTAGAAACTATCAGTCTCCCATTTGTTCCATACAATTCTACAAAGAACAAATTTCTTAAAGGATCAAGATTTCCATTTTTATAGAACAATAAAAACACAATAGAAGAAATGATATGCTTTTATTTTTCTAATTTTTTATTTTACCTGCTATTTATTACTGTTTGGTTATTGTTATTATTTTTAAGTTTATGTAAATAAAGGCCTCACATTAATGACACATTTGCATTTATTGCTTTACAGTAGCACAGCTGAGCTACTCATCTTTCATTAAGGCCTTGTCACCTCACCTCTTCTTAAATTGTAAACCTCAGAGTCCTTTAAAAAGAAATTCTATCCATCTATTTTTTGCCTTACTTGTCACTTTTAGCTTCATCTCATCTCCCAAATTCTTCCCCTTCTTCATAACCCCTACTGTAACTGTCTTTGGTGAGCCTCAGTATTCACACATCACTGTCATTCATATTTCATGTTGATGATGCTGACAGTGATTGCTTCCTGTATATAAATGGAAAGGAAAAAAAAAAAACCCACAACAGAACAATACCTCTCTAAAAGCTACAGCCTATAATTGAAATCCACTTGCATTTTCAGTTTGGTAATTTTGAATTTTGAAAAAGAGGCCTCTTTGCTGATAGCTCATTCCAGGCTGATCTGTCCAACGCTGTTATTTCCCTAGAGTTTACCTGTCTGACACATTGTATAAAGCTATTATTTGGCAAGGGTGCACCTTTGCACTTGGGCCAGGATGGATAAAATTAAACTTATTACAGAGAAGCATTTACTTATTATTTGATAGCTATTACAAAGATAAGGTCATATCTATGATATATAAATGTGCTTCAGTTAATGAAACTTGTTTACACAAATTGCAAATTTTAATTAGGGAATAAACTGTTACATATGGAAGGGATTCTTCATATCACAAAAGAAGTCTCTGTATGGTTCCATTAGAAAGTTAGTAGTGCTTTTAAAATTATTCTTGTGCTCAAGTCAATTGATAAGGACACTCAGCTACTCCAAGACTACATAGAGATTTCCTCCCACCATTGTTCCAACTGCATTTTATTACCTATTTGTACAACTAAACATGTATGCTTTCAGCAAGAAGGTAGATATTATATGGATGCAAAGATAATTTAACTATAACACATGGTATATTGAAGGAAACTAGTTCTCACTTTAATTTTGAAAACATTTTTGCTGGAATGTTAATATTAATGAGAATTAACTTTTATGTTTGTATTAGCTTTGCTATTTCTATATAGTAAAAGAATACTTAGAATCAGGAACAAAGTGAGAGCTTGGGATACAATCAGATATCTAAATTACTTTTTAATAATAAAAGTAGAAGGCTGGGTGTGCTGTCTCACGCCTGTAATCCCAACACTTTGGGAGACTGAGGTGGGAGGATTACTTCAGGCCAAAAGTTCGAACCCAGACTTGGCAACCTAGTGAGACTCTGTCTGTGTCAAAAATACAAATAAAAAAAATCAACCAGGCATCGTGGTGTGTGCCTGTAGTCCCAGCTACTTGGGAGGTAAAGGTGGAAGGATGACTCTATCCCTGTAGGTTGAGGCTGCAGTGAGTCCCATTGTACCACTGTAATCTAGCCTGGGTGACAGTGTAAGACCCTGTCAAATAACAATAATAATAATAAAAGTAGCATTAGTATACAGATCAATTAAATTTCACACCCAGGAAAGAAAATTTCAGGAGCTCCTGTAACTAAAATAGGCAGAAGAGAAAAATTACAAAGAGGTTTCAAGCTTCTTTGGACAAAGCTTTTAAACTTCAAGACATCTTTATAGTAATTTTCAACATTTTTTTTTATTTCACTGGGCTCCTTGAATAATTTCTCAGTTTAATGTGGATTTCAAATAAACTCTTTAAAAAACAGGTGGGTTTTATGGAATTTGCTATAGTATATTTTGAATCTCAAATCTGTGTTCAATGCTTCCTTGAAGATGAGATGGCTATATTCTGTGATTGTTTTGTCATTATAGGAGACAAATTCTCCATATGATTTTCAACAAAGACCTGACTCTTAACAAATTTAATTATCTAGCAACTGACAGTAAGAAGAAGGTGATGTCCTACTGCATCACTTTGATGCTTTGAGTCAAACAAAAATACTATAGACTCGGGATAAGGATATCTGGTTTACTGTCACTGTAAACCATGAAAAAATCACCTTAAGATCTCTGCACTTTATTTTTCACATGTATTAAGCAAGGACTATACCAGCCCTATAAAGCTCACAGATTGTTGTGATAACAATTAGAAGACTGATTTGAAACTATTTGAAAGTAAAATGAGCATTTCTGAGAAATAGTCTGAAATAAGGAAAATAATATTAGCAGCAATTTAAAGAGGAAGCCAACACCTTGAGTGCATTTTAAATCTTTTATAGAAAGATCTTCACTGCAGGTCATCTTTGCAGTATACTGCTATGATTAGCCCCTAAATAATCTCTTTACAAATTAAAACTGAAAAATAGAAGCTCCAACTACTTCCTCAATCCCTCCATATGGTCTGTAAATGAATAGAAAAAAATTGCATGGAGTTACATTATACAGGAATGTTCTTGGTATCAAAATTTAATCACAATTTACTAAAAACATAGGCTCTGGAAATTGTACACAAACTAAACACACCTACCATGACAGAGAAAGTAAAACAAAACAAAATGGTACCCAAGGGACAACAGATGGGGTAGTTGATGAATTCATCCCCCTATGATTTTCTTTACCGTTGTTTCTTTTTTATTTGCAAATTAAATGTCCTGATTGATGAAGCATACTGGTTGTTCAGATTTACCTCAATTGATTAGAACATGTTTCTGAGAAGCCAGAATTAAAAGTTAAAGATACCAAGTATCAGATGGCTTTTCACTATTCCATAGCCTGGGAAGATCAGGACAATACCAGTATCAACTTTAAGGAAGGAGGTAAAATCAATAACCTGCCAACACTGGTCCATGGCATGTACAGAATTTAATGGAGGATGATATAGCATAAAACCTCTCATTCTTTCCACTCTTCTCATCTACTTTACATATATCTTCAGAGGCTGTTTTTGAGGTTTATATTCCAATGATATTCTGAGTAATTGTCCTTGATAGATGTAAGCTCTCTATATTTTCTATGCTTTAACCAACTCACTCAGTGCTGATTGACTTTTCGTTCTATTTATCACTGAAATTATGTTACCTTATCTTATATAATTTTTATTAGGATAAATGTGTAATATATATATGTGTGTATATACATATGAAGCTTATATATTTCTGTGTATATGTCTTGATTCTTTATGTATATTTATATGTATTCTGAATATCATATATGACATAATATATGTATACTTATTTTATATATGAATATACGTCTTTCATTCTCTGTGTATATATATTTGCCATTATAATTGAAAGTAAATGTGTGTATAGATGTGAAACCAATAAATTGATAATCACATATGCATCAATTTATAAATAAAATATTTTACAAATAAAACAGGCTTTATAAATGAAAATATACTCTGTAATTTTATCTTTTGATTTTTTCCTACCATGTATATTAAAAATAACTACTTTTGAATACGAAATTATTAACTCCATTATCTTTGGTGAAGAAAAATCTTTCTTTAATAACCCTAGCCTATAGAACTTGTTTTGTGTAGGTGTATGTATATGTGTGTGTGTTTTAATATATAAATGTGTATTCATTGGCCCTCCTATAGACAGACATTCACATCACAAGATACCTGTTACGATTTCATAAGAATGTCTTGATTCCCTTTTCTTTCTTTCTCATATTGAACCTAATAAGTAATGATTCTTCTCAGTGATTCATTGAAAATACAGTTATTAAGCCCGATTCTCACACCAGATAATATTCTACGTAAATATGTCCGAACCATTGGCTTCTTATTTATTTCTGTATAAGCTTCTAGAGGTTTGGAAGTGATTTGTCTCCTTTCTTATCTCTGGTCTTTTGAGCACATATTTTCCTAAAATCCTTCCTCAAACAGATTTTTGTGGTTTGTTTAAGTTCATTTGCTGATTTCCTTTTACTTCTTAGAAGGTTCTTCAAAATCTTATTTATTATCAATTTAAAACATTGAGTTAATTGTCACACGCATTATAGTTTTTCTTGGTTATTACTTTAAATATATTATTGGTTTAAATGTATTTTGTGTCACATCGTAGATAATTTGGAAAATACAGAGAAAGAAAATGTAAGCTTCTATGTAACCAGGACTAGGAAATAACAACTGTTAATACTTTTGCATATTTCCTGATCTGTTTCAATCCCCATAATACACTAGTCTGAGTATTCTAAAGGTGGAGGATGGCAATGGCTCTGAGCAGCAGGTACCACAAAGTTAAGTACTGCTCCTAAAGAACATAATTGCACCCTCCTCCAGTAGTTTGTCCAGGGATGTGAATCTTGGGGAACAAATACAGAACCACAGGTCAGCATATTGCATGATCACTTTGGGAGTTTGTCTAATAGGGGTATCCTAGATAACATAGGACGATCTAGCAGAGAGAGTCTAAGAGGAGTAGAAAGACAGAAATCAGAGTCTGAGGGGAGAATAGGAGCAGCATGTTGAAGCAGAGTGAGTTTGGGCATCAAAATCAGAGGGTCCCACCCAGAATCCTCCATAGAAAACAAGAATATTCCCATGTAAAAACGTTTCTTCCTTAATTAATAGCAAACCCCCAGAATGCAAAGACAAGGCAGATGGTAAAGACGTGCTGCCTGACTTTCCTGCTTTCTTCCCTATACTCCAAATCCAGAAAGCTCTGGAGCAAAGGAATTAATAAACTAAGGCCAGGCCTAGTTGGGAAGTCTGTGTCAGTGGTCTTTCCTTTGAATGAAAATCAGATAATAAATAATGGACTCATTTTATAATCAAGAATATAACTAATTATTTGTTAGTTAAATGGAAATTTAGTTTTTTATTACTTATGAGTGACAAGAAAAGATAGGGGGGTCCTGTCTTTCCTTTGGTGTTTTTATCCAATGGCAGAGGAAAAGTTTTTCTCTCTTAATAAATCCTGAAGTGACAATGGTGACAAAAATCAATGGCTTTCATGATTGCATGCAAAACTCAAGTTTTTGTAACATACTGGTTGCAAATACATATATCAATACTTATATTAATTGAAAGCTAGTTATAACTATAGACATAACTTATAGGTCTAAGAGTTATAATATACCTATCCAATCTTTCATCTCCAGTTATATCCAAGCCTTCTTAAATTTTCTACCATTATCTGTTCTCAGAAGACTTATTTCCATCCCTTAATTCCTTCTGTATAAAGGCATGTTGGGTTTCTAATGAACATTTGTATACACACACACACACACACACACACACATATCTTCAAAAGTATAACATGACATTTTATGGTAATCTCTTCTTCAAATATTAGTAAAAATTTATCTACAGTCATCACATGATAGAACATAAAAATAAAAGCATTATTTGTTTTAATACCAAGAATCCTTCAAATGTGGTATAAGGACAAGAAATCATAGTTTCTGCTCTCTGTGTTAGTTATGTTCTTTAAGTTGCATGGAACTTAACATGTTCAGGATCTACCCAGAATTGACACGAATCTGGGAACTTAACATGGTCAGGACCTACCCACTATTAACATGTTCAGGATCTACCCAGTATTGACATGGAACTTATTGTCTTGTATTTGGGTCTGAAAAACAAGTGTCACTTCAAAAAATGTTTCCCTTTTTATTATAAAGTTATATCTTTGATTAGTAGTATCCTGTACTCTTAAATATAAAACAAGTTGATGGCAATTGACTTTAATGCAAGACTTCGGACCCAAGTGAAAAGGCTGTGTTTCAATTGAGTGCATCATGGATTTAGAGCTACATATTGTAAAACGTTACCTGTGCCTAGGTAACCTGATAGCCCCTAAGTGCCGGGCTCTCTAATTAGGAGGCAATAAGAAACCAGTAATTGTTAAGACACATGGAAGCCTAGGGGCCATAACGTTGAGCAGTCTGAGATAACACATTATGTCCCTAGTCTTTGCCATTCTTCGATACCTAGTGAGACCAAGCTATCCAGTTAGGAATGAGGGTAGGCATCTATAAACAGAGGCCTCAAAATACTCAATTAAAAATATCTGACTATAAAAAGAGAGAAGTCTTTTTTCTTTGCAATCAGAAATATGAAGGTGGGTGGATTCTAGCTTTGGTTTAGCAGCTTTTTAAACATGAGAGATCTGATTTGTACAAGTCTTGGCCTTCCACTCCCAAAAATGGCTGAAGGCACTTAAGCCTCCATAATCACATTCCAGGCAACAGGCAGAAAAAAAAAAAAGAAAAGGGAAGGACAAAGAGAGTTTCCTAAGAACCCCCGCCTCCTACTTGTGTTAATGTCGTATTGCCCACATACATTTACAAAGAAAGCTGGTAAACACTACTTTTTAACTAGACAAATTGCTACCTCCAATAATTTTGTGTGATGGCGGCGGTGGTGGTGGTGGTGAGGGTTCTCTTAGAAAGAAGAAGGAGAGGCCAGGCACGGTGGCTCATGCCTGTAATCCCTGTAATCTCAGCACTTTGGGAGGCCGAGGCAGGCAGATCACGAGGTCAGGAGTTCCAGACCAGTCTGATCAACACAGTGAAACCCCGTCTATACTAAAAATACAAATATTAGCCAGGCATGATGGCATGCACCTGTAATCCCAGCTACTCAGGAGGCTGAGGCAGGAGAATCACTTGAACCCGGGAGGCGGAGGTTGCAGTGAGCTGAGATCGTGCCATTGTACTCCAGCCTGGGCGACAGAAGAGACTTCGTCTCAAAAAAAAAAAAAAAAAGAAAGAAGAAGTAGAGAATAACAATGATAACATAATGACTATTCTCTTCCATTAATCTAAGCCTAATGGAAGGCCCTGGTTTGGTAGTCACAACTACTGCCACACCACGGTCTGTCTATTCCCAACTTTATTACTCTACTTGGTGTAGAAAAGCACCAACCCTCCATGGTACTACTGTCTAGGAGGCTCCCATTTCTTCACTGATGGTTCAAGGAAAGGCAGGAGGCAACAATCAAGCTTGGAATTTTTAATCCATACCCTTTGCATTCATTTAAATATCTCCATTAAAATGTCCACCCAATTAGGGAACAAAGTCTGTTCTTAGATGAAACTTTGAAATAAATTGTTTCATGTTGATCTTACATGTTCAATTAATGGCTATTCTAATAAGGATAATAGAATAAGAGAGAGTTTGGAATTTCAGAGCACACCTTTATAAAACTGAAGTAAAATTCAGTAGCATTCAAGATCTTTTAAGCAAAGCAATAGTGTAGTGATATGGTAACTTGTCATCTTCCTGAAACCTGTGTCCATTGCTCTCTATTTTAGCCAGCTCTATCTTTTCACCAATTGTGGGTGATTCAGTGCCTCTCCATTTTTAAAAAAAATTATCTTTATCTCTGTCTGTCTCTTTCTCCTTCATATTCTTTTCAATATTTCAGCATTGTATACACTGTATTCATGTTAATCTAGTATTTTATGATATGTTAACAAGCTGATTTACAACATAACTTGAAATCTACAGGCAACATTTTGACTATTACTCTCTATTGAGATTCATAATTCATATTTTTACTTTAAATATGCTGAGAAGGCTTGAAGTTTGAAAACCAAATTCAAGGTAATTTAACCCAGCATTTTCCATATTTGTGTCATGGTGCAATCATTTTTCTTGTCTATGAACACCATGCGAAAAGTTTTATGGAAGGCATTTGATATAAAGTTCATTCTACTTTAAGGTTCATGCTTATTTGTACCTTCCATTTTCTTATGACATCTATACATTTTAGATTTAATATTTTGCTACTAGTTTAGTTTCTTCCTTTGTATTTTAAGACAAAATCCAATAAGACAGTTGCATAGCCTATCAGAGGGTTATCTTTTTGTCCATAGTCCAATCATTTATTGTTTGAGTGTTGGAGCCTCACATTAGAAAGTATGGTAACCTATGTATTAGACACATCTTGAGGGAGGAAGCTTTACAGGGGACCTGTGGTGAGTGTTGCATTTACTCAGGGGATCATTCACTTCTTTCCAATACACATACTCTGATATTCCCAATAAATCTGAGGCCACAGTCCTCATGATGCTCTCCTATGAAAAGCAAGTCAGATTTAGGAGAATAAATTGAATGAATTGTCACAAACATTTCTCAATAAAATAAGGAGAAAAGTGTAACTGTAGTCTGCATAAAAATTACATGTAGATTTACTAAGCTTTGGGGTCCTCTTGGTTGGAATGCATTTCTGAAGGGAAAAAAATCAATATTAAACTACATTTGATGTATTTCTTTGCTAAAAGCCACAACTTCCAGTATTCTAGAGAGGAATGATTTATAACTATTACATCCAACAAAATGTTCTTTTTGGCCCTGAAATCTGATAACTTGGTTTTACATGGTGACCGTGCTTCCAGAAATAAAACTCCTGTCCATCACCATTATTATTATCAAGGATAGCCTGAGAATTTCTGTAGAAAGCATAGCACATTTTCACTGCTTTACTCATGTGTGATAATTGCAGAGTTTTGGAAATGTGTTAGCTACAAAAAAAGAAGAATTAGGACCTTAAAGGTGTTTTAGGTAGAAATAAGCAGGGAACCTTGGTTTTCCATCATTGGAGCACTTTTCTTGTTGTACTCTGTATAATATATTTCCTTTTGGCCTTGCAGATGTATTTTTGAATCTATTAGCCTGAACACATTTTCACTGCCTTGCAAATGTTTTATCAGCCTGCCTCTCTCCCCTACCAGAGCCTGACGTATATTGCAAGTGAAAGACAGAAAATGAGAATATAGTACTCATTTTCAATTTTTAATTCCTTTTTTCAAGGGTGTGTGTGTGGGGGGGTTCTATCTGAATAGGTTATGTCATGTGGTTGCATACAGATATCTTGAACCAAAAAGACACTGTTAAACAGTTATTCTACTATGAGAAATGCAAAACCTTTAGGCCCTCATACAAAAATTATTAAGAAATTTAGAATTGGCTGCAAAATGAAAAAAAGGGGTAATTCTTCTTATACTGCTATATACAACTATATAACAGCCTTAATAGCCCACGTGATGGTGAGCTGCAGCTGCCAAGAAAGGTATATAATGATTTTGCTTCAGAAATTGGATCTCTTCCATATTTTTCCCAATAGGAGAATCAGTTTTAACTCATATTGCAATTAGTAAGTTACTCTCCTTCAATAGTAGGAGATTATAGTACCCTTCCTGTTCCCACTGAACCAAAAAACAATAACAATCTTAACTTGGGTACAAAACCCAGGAAATTAACCCTAAAAAATTAAAATTGCTACTCTAGTGAACACACATAATGATAAGAAAGTGTAATGGTCTCATTGCTTACATAGAGAAAGTTTTAGTGAACTGAATAGAAGATTAAACCAACCACAGCATTCCTTTAAACTAAAGCCTAATCCAGAGAAAGGCTGTAACTCTCCTTATGCTTTGAAATCTGAGAGAAGTGAGGAAGCTTCAGTAGAAAAGTGTGAGGCTAGTAGAAGTGGGTTTATGAGGTATAGGAAAAGAAATCCACCTTCGTAACGTAAAATTGCAAGGTGAAACAGCAAGTGCTGATGTAGAAGATGAAGCAAGTTATCCAGAAGACCTGGCTAAGATAATTGATGAAGGTAGCTAAACAAGACTTTTTCAATGAGACAAATCAACATTATATTGGAAAAAAAATGCCATCTCAGATTTTCACAGCTAGAGAGGACAACTCAATGCCTGTCTTCAGAGCTTCAAAAGAAACACTGACCTCTTGTTAGGGGATAATGCAGCTGATGACTTTAAGTTTAATCCAATGCTCATTTACCATTATTTACCATTCCAAGAATCCTAGGACCCCTGAGAATGATACTAAATATATTCTGCTTGTCTTCTACAAATTGAACAGCAAAGCTTGGATGACAGCACATCTATTTTGCAGTATAGTCTACTGCATATTTTAAGCCCATACTGGATATTTTAAGCCCACTGTTGAAACCAACTGCTTAAAAAGAAAGATTTCATTCTGAACATTAGTGCTCATTGACAATGTACCTACTCACCCAAGAGCTCTGATGATACAAGGAGGTTAACTTTTTTTTTTCACGCCTGCTAACACAACATCCATTTGCAGCCCATAGATCAAGGAGTCAGTTCAAATTTCTAGTCTTATTATTTAAGGAATACATTCCATAAGGATATAGCTGTCATAAATAGAAGATTAAATTAATTAATTTAAATTAAATATTTTGATCTTTCTCTCATGTATCTGAAATTGAAAACCTTCTGGAAAAGATCCAACATTCTAGATACCATTAAGAACATTCATGATTCGTGAGAGATGGTCAAAATATCAACATTAACAGGAGTTTGAAAGAAGTTAATTCCAACTCTTATAAATAGTTTGAGAGGCTCAAGTGTTAGTGGAAGAAGTTTCTGTAGATATATTGGAAATAGCAAGAGAACTAGAACTAGAACTATGGCCTGAATATGAGGCTAAATTGCTACAATCTCATGCAGAACGTGAATGAATGAGAAGTTGTTTCTTATGAACAAGTCAAGAAAGTGGTTTCTTGAGATGAAATCTATTCCTTGTGATGTTGTGAACATTGTTCAAATAACAATATAAGATTGAGAATATTATATAAACTTAGCTGATAAAGCAGCAGAATTTGAGAGGATTGGCTCCAATTTTGAAAGAAGTTCTATCATAGGTAAAATGCTGTCGAACATTATCCCATGCTATAGAGAAGTATTTTCTGAAAGGAGGAGTTAATACAGAAAATGTCACCGTTGTCTTAAGAAATTGTCACAGCCATCCCAGCCTTCAGCAAGCACCACCCTGATCAGTCAGCAGCCGTCAGCATCAAGTCAATACCCTCCACCAGAAAAAAAAATTATGACTGGCTTAAGGTTCACATGATTATAGGAATTTTTAGCAACAAAATATTTTAATTAAGGTATATACAGTAATGTTTAGACATGACGATATTGAATACTTAGTAGACTACCATACAGCATAAACATAGCTTTTATATACATTCGGAAACCAAAAAAGTTTTGGCTAACTTTATTGTAATTTTCACTTTATTCCAGTTGTCTGGAACTTGGCCTCCTCTATCCCCAATGTATCTCTGTAGTAGAGAATGACATCCTGACATACAGTGAAGTGAGTTGAGAAAAGTACAATACATAGACCTGTATCAAGAAAACTTAGAAAACACAAATTGAAAAATAATTCAGAATAGAACAAAAAAAATACATTCTTTTAGAATCTTATTTTAAAGATTTATGCCAATTCAAAATGAAGAAGTATTGATAAATTTATGTCAAATTTAAGGTAACTCAATATTCATTATATATGATTTTTTGTGTGTGTGTGACAGAGTCTCGCTCTTGTTGTCCAAGCTGAAGTGCAATGGCCCTATCTTGGCTCACTGCAAACTCTGCCTCCTGGGTTCAAGCTGTTCTCCTGCCTCAGCCTTCCGAGTAGCTGGGATTATAGGCACCCACCATCACACCCAGCTAATTTTTGTATTTTTAGTAGAGACAGGGTTTCACCATGTTGGCCAGACTGGTCTGGAACTCCTGACCTCAGGTGATCTGCCTGCCTCGGCCTCCCAGAGTGCTGGGATTACAAGCGTGAGCCACCACGCCCGACTTATATATGATTTTATCTCAGAGTGTGCCTTCAGTCAGTTTTATTTTTTTGTTTATGTATGTATGTGTGCATGGTATGTATGTATGTCTTTATCAGTCTCATGTTACAAAAGCACCTTTATGCATCATTACAGAGAGATTATCATATCTAAATAGAAGACAAATACTATTACAGTCAAGATTCTGAGACTAAGTGGGCAAAAATTCAAAAATCTGGCTCATGTATTTTGATCTGTACCTTCTCCATAGTGAATAGATTGATTTTAACAGTTAATATTGTGTCACACTAACATGCTACCTTAAAGTCCCTTTGTACTGAGGGGGAACATAACACAAGGATTAGAAAAATGCAGCCAGTTTTTTAAAAAATATATGTTTTATTAAAAGACAGCCACAAACATCCCTTTATGTATTATCTATGTCTGCTTTCTAGCTACAACAGCATTGAGTAGTTCCATCAGAGTTGTTTAGCCTGCCAAGCCTAAAATATTTACTATTTGACACTTTACAGCAAAACTTGCCAATGTCTAACGCAGCACAATGAAAATGGTCTTTGAGTAAAATAGACTCATGAGAAACTGTGTTCCAGGTTAAGCTTTACATTTTGTGCTACGCTTTATAATCCCCAACGTGTTTTTCAGGTTAAGCAACTGAATTTTCTCTTCTGAAAAAAACAAAAAAAAAAGACTTTCTTTATTCCCCCGTCATCAGGACCTTATTGTGATATCAAACATTCAGAATTCTCCACCAACTCTGAAACTAAGACAGTCCTTAGCATTTATGGCCTCTCAAGGCAAGAGTTAAATGGAGGCATATATGTGATTCATTTTAAAATAATAAATCAATCCCCCAAAATCATTCAATTAAATATGTTGTACCATCCTATTTCGATAAGTATGCCTTCACATTGACCTAGAAAGTCAAACTTGAAATTAAAATTTTTAGACTTTTAAGTTTCTTCACTAAAAGATGGCAGTATGGGGAGGACATGGCCTCAGCTCCACTCTGTGACTCCCCATAGGCTTTTCCTCTCCATTTCAATTATTCATGTGCTGCGATAGAAATGCATCCATGTGGACATCCCAACACACATGCCTCAGCTCTGTCCACCCATTTTCAGAACATCTCTCCTTGGCCAACCCTGCTGAAAGCCAAGGGTTACATATATGCCTAGTGACATACGCACTCCTTGGGGAAACCGATCCAGTAGACGGAGCACCATGAATTTTGGAAGGAAGTCAAGATCATGTTAGCAGGAAATCCCCAAGTTTTAGTTACCTAGAGCATCATGAAGTAGGGAAGCATAGGCTTAGGATGTATCCTTCTCATAACCCAGAGAATTCTTACTCTGTGGAAAAGTGAATTAAATATGGAGATACCAGGTGGAGCCCTCTAAAGATCTCTCTCCTTAGAACCAGCAGCATCAGCATCTCCTAAAACAATAGTTCCCAAGTACATCTGACCTCATCTGGAGGGGCTTTCAGTTGTCACAACTGCTCAGGAGAGTGTTAGTAGCAACCAGTAGGTAGAATCCAGAAATGCTGCTAAAAAAAATCTATGGTACACAAGAGCGGTCCCCAAAACAAAGAATCAGTTGGTGCAAAATGCTAGTGGTGTTGAGCTTAAGAAACATTCACCTAGGATTTCATAAGAAATGCAGAAGCTCAAGCCTGCCTCAGATCTACTGGACCAGAATATGAATTTTAAGTGGATCTGTAAGTATGCCCATTGAAGTTTGAGAAGCACTGCTCTGAAGCATGGGATGGAGGCAGAGGCTCTTTTTGCCCTATGAAATGTGGTGCTTTTTGGAACAGGCAGCTTGCAAGACTTTTGATGCTGATGTTTGTTTTTATGAATTTCCCTCGTTCCAACATTAGTTTTTCCCTTATCATTTTACTCCTTTTACAAGAGTCAGAAAAATTAGATATACCTTCTATTTCTATTATTTCATAAGGAGTATAGATATTGGGGTGGCACCAAGATGGCCAAATAGGAACAGCTCCGATCTACAGCTCCCAGCGTGAGTGACGCAGAAGACGGGTGATTTCTGCATTTCCATCTGAGGTACCGGGTTCATCTCACTAGGGAGTGCCAGACAGTGGGTGCAGGACAGTGGGTGCAGCGCGCCGGGCGTGAGCCAAAGCAGGGCAAGGCATTGCCTCACTCAGGAAGCGCAAGGGGTCAGGGAGTTCCCTTTCCTAGTGAAAGAAAGGGGTGACAGATAGCACCTGGAAAATCAGGTCACTCCCACCCTAATACTGCCCTTTTCCAACAGGCTTAAAAAACGGCACACCAGGAGATTATATCCTGCATATGACTCAGAGGGTCCTACGCCCACGGAGTCTCGCTGATTGCTAGCACAGCAGTATGAGATCAAACTGCAAGGCGGCAGCGAGGCTAGGGGAGGGGCACCTGCCATTGCCCTGGCTTGCTTAGGTAAATAAAGCAGCCGGGAAGCTCAAACTGGGTGGAGCCCACCACAGCTCAAGGAGGCCTGCCTGCCTCTGTAGGCTCCACTTCTGTGGGCAGGGCACAGACAAACAAAAAGACAGCAGTAACCTCTGCAGACTTAAACGTCCCTGTGTGACAGCTTTGAAGAGAGTAGTGGTTCTCCCAGCATGCAGCTGGAGATCTGAGAACGGGCAGACTGCCTCCTCAAGTGGGTCCCTGACCCCCGAGTAGCCTAACTGGGGGGCACCCCCCAGTAGGGGCAGACTGACACCTCACACGGCCGGGTACTCCTCTGAGACAAAACTTCCAGAGGACCAATCAGGCAGCAGCATTTGCGGTTCAGGAAAATCCGCTGTTCTACAGCCACCACTGTTCTGCAGCCACTACTGCTGACACCCAGGCAAACAGGGTCTGGAGTGGACCTCTAGCAAACTCCAACAGACCTGCAGCTGAGGGTCCTGGCTGTTAGAAGGAAAACTCACAAACAGAAAGGACATCCACACCAAAAACCCATTTGTATGTCACCATCATCAAAAACCAAAAGTAGATAAAATCACAAAGATGGGGAAAAAACAGAACAGAAAAACTGGAAACTCTAAAAAGCAGAGCGCCTCTCCTCCTCCAAAGGAACACAGTTCCTCACCAGCAACAGAACAAAGCTGGACGGAGAATGACTTTGACGAGTTGAGAGAAGAAGGCTTCAGACGATCAAACTACTCCAAGCTACAGGAGGAAATTCAAACCAATGGCAAAGAAGTTAAAAACTTTGAAAAAAAATTAGACAAATGTATAACTAGAATAACCAATGTAGAGAAGTGCTTAAAGGAGCTGATGGAGCTGAAAGCCAAGGCTCGAGAACTACATGAAGAATGCAGAAGCCTCAGGAGCCAATGTGATCAACTGAAAGAAAGGGTATAAGTGATGGAAGATGAAATGAATGAAATGAAGTGAGAAGGGAAGTTTAGAGAAAAAAGAATAAAAAGAAATGAACGAAGTCTCCAAGAAATATGGGACTATGTGAAAAGACCAAATGTACGTCTGATTGGTGTACCTGAAAGTGACGGGGAGAATGGAACCAAGTTGGAAAACACTCTGCAGGATATTATCCAGGAGAACTTCCCCAATCTAGAAAGGCAGGCCAACATTCAGATTCACGAAATACAGAGAACGCCACAAAGATACTCCTCGAGAAGAGCAACTACAAGACACATAATTGTCAGATTCACCAAAGTTGAAATGAAGGAAAAAATGTTAAGGGCAGCCAGAGAGAAAGGTTGGGTTACCCACAAAGGGAAGCCCATCAGACTAACAGCAGATCTTTCAGCAGAAACTCTACAAGCCAGAAGAGAGTGGGGACCAATATTCAACATTCTTAAAGAAGAGAATTTTCAACCCAGAATTTCATATCCAGCCAAACTAAGCTTCATAAGTCAAGGAGAAATACAATCCTTTACAGACAAGCAAATGCTGACAGATTTTGTCACCAACAGGCCTGCCTTACAAGAGCTCATGAAGGAAGCATGAAACATGGAAAGGAAAAACTGGTACCAGCCACTGCAAAAACATACCAAACTGTAAAGACCATCAAGGCTAGGAAGAAACTGCATCAACTAACAAGCAAAATAACCAGCTAACATCATAATGACAGGATCAAATTCACACATAATAATATTAACTTTAAATGTAAATGGGCTAAATGCTCCAATTAAAAGACACAGACTGGCAAACTGGATAAAGACTCAAGACCCATCAGTGTGCTGTATTCAGGAAACCCATCTCACGTGCAGAGACACACATAGGCTCAAAATAAAGGGATGGAGGACACACCCTATACAAAAATTAATTCAAGATGGATTAAAGACTTAAACATTAGACCTAAAACCATAAAAACCCTAGAAGAAAACCTAGGCATTACCATTCAGGGCATGGGCAAGGACTTCATGTCTAAAACACCAAAAGCAATGGTAACAAAAGCCAAAATTGACAGATGGGATCTAATTAAACTAAAGAGCTCTGCACAGCAAAAGAAACTACCATCAGAGTGAACAGGCAACCTACAAAATGGAAGAAAATTTTCGCAACCTACTCATCTGACAAAGGGCTGATATCCAGAATCTACAATGAACTCAAACAAATTTACAAGAAAAAAACAAACAGCCCCATCAAAAAGTGGGCGAAGGACATGAACAGACACTTCTCAAAAGAAGACATTTATGCAGCCAAAAAACACGTGAAAAAATGCTCACCATCACTGGCCATCAGAGAAATGCAAATCAAAACCACAATGAGATACCATCTCACACCAGTTAGAATAGCGATCATTAAAAAGTCAGGAAACAACAGGTGCTAGAGAGGATGTGGAGAAATAGGAACACTTTTACACTGTTGGTGGGACTGTAAACTAGTTCAACCATTGTGGAAGTCAGTGTGGCGATTCCTCAGGGATCTAGAACTAGAAATACCATTTGACCCAGCCATCCCATTACTGGGTATATACCCAAAGGACTATAAATCATGCTGCTATAAAGACACATGTACACATGTTTATTGCGGCACTATTCACAATAGCAAAGACTTGGAACCAACCCAAATGTCCAACAACGATAGACTGGATTAAGGAAATGTGGCACATATACACCATGGAATACTATGTAGCCATAAAAAATGATGAGTTCATATCCTTTGCAGGGACCTGGATGAAACTGGAAATCATCATTCTCAGCAAACTATCTCAAGGACAAAAAACCAAACACCGCATGTTCTCACTCATAGGTGGGAATTGAACAACGAGAACACATGGACACAGGAAGGGGAACATCACACTCCAGGGACTGTTGTGGGGTGGGGGGAGGGGGGATGGATAGCATTAGGAGATATACCTAATGCTAAATGACAAGTTAATGGGTGCAGTGCACCAACATGGCACATGTATACATATGTAACAAACCTGCACATTGTGCACATGTACCCTAAAACTTAAAGTATAATAATAATAATAATAATAACAAAGTACAGAAAAAAAAGAGTATAGATATCAAGTTCAATCTATAGGAAGATTTTTGCAGGATATTTTAACGGTTACATCAAAAAAGCTCAGAATTCCTAATCAGTCATCGCAGGCTTTAAATCATTAAGATTATCTCAAACTGAATTCTTCTGGTTGCCTTGACTCATATCCTGAGTTTTACGAATTGGATAAAAACATTTCATAGGTGAAATACATCATAGCATTTTTAGAGGATTTCATTGTCTGAACAGGGCACTTGAAGGCTTCCGGGAGTAGATGTTAAATGTCTGGACTCTCCTAACATGACTCATTTACTTATAATACCAGTTGCATTTCTCAGCCACAATGTGCTGGGGAATGAATGAAATAGAATTTCATTTTAAGATTCAGTCTGAATTCTTAATTGATTGATAGAAAAAAAATGTTTGTGTTTAGGTTGATTCTTGTTTTATCCATGCATAGACAACATAAGGAGTTCTTCCAGTTTAAAGGACAGAAGGAGGAATGAGATGTCTGTTGCATACACAAGGAGAATTTTTCCAGACAGGAAAATAATGAGAGGGAGTTGTACAATGTTTACAAAGAGGCCTAGTATTGATCATTTTCTGGTCCACAATCATATTGTAAAGAAGGCAGGTCTTGTATTTAGCACACTTAATTTTCTTATTCTCATGTGTACCCCTGACACAATGAACTTAACGCATCCCCTTAAGGAATACCATCATTTGGTACTTTCCTACCAGCCTGATTTCTGATTTCTGTTTTTATATTTACCCTACATGAAAGTTACACAAATATTCTATGAGAATCCACAACATTTCAACCACTATGCTAATAAATACACAAAGAAAAATTAAACAAAACATTTCAACATTTCTATGACTGAAAAGAATTTCAAGTATTTTTTATTTTATTATTATTATTGTTAATTCACAGAAACACCATCTTCCCCATCTTCATTCCGGGGATCTGCAGTTTGGCAAGAAAAAAATATATTATTATCAACTTGTGTTGAATGGATAAATGAATGTAATGTTGAAGGATAACATGGAGTTTTGTTGAGGCTTTTGTGGCCCTTGAAATTATCCAGTGTAGAAAGTCACTTATTCTACCTGTTCATTAGGGCTGATAGTTTTGGCACCCTCAACAGTTATTCTTTTCTCAGTATACTGTAATCAACTGCTTAGAAGGATATTTTCCAGGGACTTGTATTTCATTAACCTTTAAAAACAACATACCTGCCTGCTTATTTTCTAAGCACTACTCAATCATGAAGCTGTTTCAAAGCTGTTTGGTACAATTCTTGACTTAACGTGAAGAAGGGTTCAGTCATCCATTGGTGCTGTAGTGACAGACAGCCCAGCATCTAAGATCCCCCATCGAGTGACTCTCAATGATATGGCAGCCCTGGCCTTTGCCCCCAGCTCTAATCATTGAGCCTTTTATTCATTCCCAAGAATTTTACTTTGCTTATATTTTTAAATTGTATTTCCAGCAAAAATTTCTAGTTATCAGTGGGTATAGCTAAGAACATGTTCTTTACTGGGAGATACTGAGTGTTGGTTCTGTCAGATGGATTCCTCATTAATTAGGCTTAAGTCTGTCTTCTCCTACTTGATTTAACTAGGTAGATCATAGCCTAAAAATTCACTGCATACACACACACACTCACTCACAGACGTATAGATTTATTCAAACACTGCAGCCTCCTCTTTTGCTCCCATTCCCAGGGTTTTAGTTTCTGGACAAAATGTTGCTTTTATTGACTTGGGAGGCTGAGGCAGGAGGATCACTTAGTCCAGGAGTTTCAGGCTGCCTGAGCTATGATCATACTACTACACTGTAGCCTGGGCAACGCAGCAAGATCCTGCCTCTAAATAAATAATAAAAAATAAATAAAAAATAATTTGCCTTATGAGGTGATTTTATATAAGAATATACATTTTTATAGAGTTACTGTGGTCAGATACACTCATATTTCTATTTTCCGATTAAAGAATTAATGTTTCTAGACATAGGTTTGGTATTAGACATAGAGTCATCAAGGAAATTTGAAAACTAGCATGTGGTTGACAGAAAATCAAAATTCATATAGTAATTTTTTAATATGATTTTAAACATTTATAAAATAGGTATTATCCTTTTTCTAAATAAATTGGAGGTGGCATTAATCAGCCCCACTAAATTGTGTTTATACTAAGAATCCTAAGTTTGCAAGATGACACATATACAATGGAGTATATATTGTTATTTTGCATGCTGAGTTTGTTGTTATTCTCTCTCTCATTTTTCTCTACATATCTTAAGAGATGGTGGGGGCAGATTACATTAAGAACCTGTTGAAACTTAAAAAAAAAAAGTACAGTAAACACGTGGTTCTAGATCATAGGGATAAATTATATGAGGCTTTCTGCATATCTCAAACTTAAAATTTTTAAATGTGGCTAAGGAAGTTGAAGATAAAAAATTAAAATAAATAGACCATCTTGAGGCAGTGTCTTTTGCAATAATATCAAGGAAGAATGAATTATCAAAACAAACAAACAACAACAACAACAACAACAAAATTCCTGTTTTCTGTGGGGAAGAAATCTTGGAATTAGTATTTTTCCCTACAGTACTGATTTTGGGTCTGCAAGTGAAAGGCACATACACTAGATTTGTAAAGGAAAAGATGTAAGAAATCATGGGAACTGAGAAGCATGCATGAGTGTGAATAGGATTATCAACAGTATCAAATTTGTATTTTGCAGGAGAAAGTCAAGAAATAATCCTTTAATACTGAGAAACAATCCAGGGAAAAATATCAGAACACTGCAGAAAAATAATATGCAGTTTGAAAATTATTTTAATAGAAAATATTTGTAAAACTAACACTGGGATTGCACAGTATGCATATTAGGTCTGAACAAAAAAGAAAGTAGAAGAAACACTGAAGACTCCTTAGCAGAAGAAAAAAATTTCTTATCTTGAAAACAAAACAAAACCTACAAGATCTGTAGTACCAGTTAACTCAGGGGGCAGAGGCAGAAGATCAGCTGAGCCCCAGGAGTTCCAGTACAGCCTAAGAAATGTAGTGAGACCTGTCTGGAAAAAATAAAAATTTAAAGAAGGGAGAAAAGTTTAAAAAAAGAGTAATCAAAATGTTTTAGGGCAAATATAGAATTAAATAGGATATACTTTTTTATTTTAACGTCAAAGAAAAATTTCCAAAAATTCCAAAAGAAGAAAAGGTTCTTGGAAACATACACATCAACCAGTTTTTAAAAAAACCCAGCAAATAAGTAGAGAATGTGAGTAGGCCTGCCATGTACCAAGATCCTCGTATCCAACCAACTTATTTATTACTCTGGAAAAGAATAAAAACAATTTCATATGTGAAGCTTCAGAAAACATTTCACCCAGGTATGCATCATGAATAAACTACTCAAAAAAGTTCCAAAATATTTTTTTAAAATATTAAGTATAACTTGAGAGGAAAATTAAAATTAAAAAATAGTAATTTATCAGGGGAGATGGAAAGTTGTTTAGTTTTGCTTAAAAGAAAACTATGGTTACAGGATTTTTAAAAAAAAATTCTGAAAAGACCTAGCATGTGGTTGACAGAAAAACAAAATTCATATAGTATTTTTAATATGATTTTAAACATTTATAAAATAGGTATTATTCTTTTTTTCTAGAGAAATAGGAGGTGGCATAAATCAACCCCACTAAATTGTGTTCATATTAAGAATCCTAAGTTTGCAAGATGACGCATATACTTTGGAGTGTATATTGTCATTTTTCATGCTGAATTTATTGCTGTTGTCTCTGTCATTTTTCTCTATTTATGTATCTGAAGAGATGGTGGGGGCATATTGACAACAACGAAAAAGACGATAAAATAGCTGGAGTCTTGGAATCTGACATAAAATCAATCCTGGTTATTTTTTTTAAAATGCACAGCTTTTCTCTTTTGTAGTCATGCTTCCCATCAACTAACAAGAGAGCTGCCTATATTTAGTCTTCTTTTCCTCACCTCCTTATTCCACTCAATTTAGATTTTCTTCCCCATCATTCCATTGAAAGTGATCTTATCAAGGTCACCAATGACTACCTTTCTAAATACAAAATTCAAATATCTGTTCTTATCACCCTTGAACTCATGTCTCTGACACTGTTGACAACTTTCTTTCAACTCAAAATCATTTTTTGGCATATGTAAAATCACAGTCTTCTTTTACTTCCTACTGTACTAATGACTCATCATTTTCCTTTCCTAGCCTCTCCCCCTTTTTCAGTTCTTTAAATGCCTATGTGTCTCAGGGAACAGCTTACATCTATCTTTTTATCACCAGCAATACTCTAGTCTAGATGACATTATTCAGACCCTTGGTTTACAATACACTCTACACTATTGATTTCTTAAAATATATTTCTGAACTCCAGACTATTTTTCTCTCACTGCTCACTGTCAGTATTTGAGTATCTAATGAGTGTTTCAAGCATTACATGGCTGAATGGAATTTTTTATTTCCCCCTTAAAATTAGTCTTCCCCAGCCTACCACAGTTTATGATGGTGTCACCATTCATACAATTGCAGAGGACAAGGACCTAGGGAGTATTCTTGATTTCTCTGTTTTTCATAGTCTTCTTTTCCAAATGGAGTTGTCTATCTCCAAAGTTTATTCCAAATTCAATCATCTCTCAAAACCTCCACCACTGTTATTCTAGTCCTATTTCCTGCCTGGACAACTATAATAGACTCCTAATTACCTCCTTGCTACAGCTCTTTCCCCTTCATAGCCTATTCTGTACAAAGAAAACCTAGTAGTAATATTTTTGAAATCATGAGCAAGGCGATGCATACAATTACACATAGAATCTTTTAAAAAATGTCTTCTTAATGACAGCAAGCCATACATGATGTCAACTTATCTTTCTGATCTTATTTATCACTTTTCCTATCATTCTTTAAGCCTTACATACATTGGCCTACTTCCGTTATTAAAATAAACCAGGCTTATCTTTGTCTCAGAACTATCATGTTTGCTATTTTCACTACTTGGATTCTTTTCCATAGATATTTTATATAGCTAGTTCTTTTCTAACATTCAGATCTCTACTCAAATATCGTTTCCCTAGAAAGAATTTGTAGGCCATTCTCTCTAAATCCACATCCTCACAAACATCTTATTGCATAATTTTCTATTCCATGTTGAGAAAATATAATTATAAACAAAATCTCCTTTAAGCCCAGAAGTCTCTCCTCCACCACAAAGGTGGAAGAGAAGTAACACAAATTTATTGTTTAATAAGAATTAAAACAGTACGTGACACAAATCACAAGCAATCCACTAAGAGACTGCAAAGACAGAAGTCTCACTTTTTTACATAGAGAAGCATATACAACCCATTACAAATGTATTCTCAAGATAAACAATAGCTAGCCTCACATAAGAGGACTTGACAGCACTGTTTGTCACACATAGTTCAGCATAAATTCACTTCATAGAGTGTCTTTCTGTGTTAACTAATTACTTTCATCTGACAGAAAAATAAACCTCTTACATGTTTGTTACAACACTTAGTTTTGCAACTTGGAGAAAGGCACCCACTGATGTTAGTCTCTTGCCCTTTCATAGAAACAGGAGGAAAAGAGGAGGTAAGGTGCTATCTTTGTTGATTACATTTCAATTACATAGTTTCCCAGTCCTTGGGAAAGATATCTCTGGGTCTAAAAGCTGTCAAGAGGCTATTTAACTTTCAAAAAGATTTATGTACATTTCAAAGAGATACAAAAAAAACTTAAAATGATCAGTTTTCTAAAATAAATGCTCTCAGAAAAGAGAATGGAGGATATACCTCTTCCTTTATTTCCAGTAAGAAGAACTAAGCTGCTTATGTTTAATTTGTATTAGTTCTTACACTCCTTACTATTGTTATTTTTTTAAATCCTGATCAGTAAATACAAATATATTATTTCTAGATTTGTCTTTCTGGGTATTAAATTTTCATTAGAATTCAACTTTCATGAAAACAGAGAATTTCTCTTCCAAGTTTATAATTGTATTTTGATTGCCTAGAAGAGTTTTGGAGCCATAATAGGTACACAATAAATAGTTTTAGAATTAAAAATTTAATATTGTTATTATTCAATAATATTTAATATTATTTAATAATAGTACTATTTAGCATTACTTAGTATTATGCAGGACAAATGCTATATAAACAAAAATAAGTTAGAAAGAAATGCAGCAAATCTTTTGGTTTTTTTGTCATTGCTTTTTGTTTTAGAAACAGAATCTTACTCTGTCACCCAGGTTAGAGTACCATAACATAATCATAGCTCACTGTATCCTCAAACTCCTGAACCCAAATGATCTTCCCACCTCAGCCTCCCAAAGTGCTAAGATAACAAGTGTGGGCCACTATGCCTGGCCTTAAAATGTTTTCTCGTGCCGTGGTTTTCAGCTCCATCAGGTCCTTTAAGGACTTCTCTGCATTGGTTATTCTAGTTTGCCATTCATCTAATTTTTTTTTGAGGTTTTTAACTTCTTTGCCATGGGTTCGAAGTTCCTCCTTTAGCTTGGAGTAGTTTGATCATCTGAAGCCTTCTTCTCTCAACTCGTCAAAGTCATTCTCCATCCAGCTTTGTTCCATTGCTGGTGAGGAGCTGCATTCCTTTGGAGGATGAGAAGTGCTCTAATTTTTAGAGTTTCCAGTTTTTCTGCTCTGTTTTTTTCCCCATCTTTGTGTTTTTATCTACCTTTGGTCTTTGATGATGGTGACATACAGATGGGGTTTTGGTGTGGATGTCCTTTCTGTTTGTTAGTTTTCCTTCTAACAATCAGGACCCTCAGCTGTAGGTCTGTTGGAGTTTGCTGGAGGTCCACTCCAGATCCTATTTGCCTGGGTATCAGCAGCGGAGGCTGCAGAACAGTGGATATTGGTGAACAGCAAATGTTGCTGCCTGATCGTTCCGCTGGAAGTTTTGTCTCAGAGGAGTACCCGGCCGTGTGAGGTGTCAGTCTGCCCCTACCGGGGGGTGCCTCCCAGTTAGGCTACTCGGGGGTCAGGGACCCACTTGAGGAGGCAGTCTCCAGCAGTGTGCTGGGAGAACCACTACTCTCTTCAAAGCTGTCAGACAGGGACATTTAAGTCTGCAGAGGTTTCTGCTGCCTTTTGTTTGGCTATGCCCTGCCTCCAGAGGTGGAGTCTACAGAGGCAGGCAGTCCTCCTTGAGTTGCAGTGGGCTCCACCCAGTTCGAGCTTCCTGGCCACTTTGTTTACCTACTCAAGCCTCAGTAATGGCGGGCACCCCTCCCCCAGCCTCGCTGCCGCCTTGCAGTTTTTTCTCAGACTGCTGTGCTAGCAGTGAGCGAGGCTCCCCGGGCATAGGACCCTCTGAGCCATGTGCAAGATATAATCTCCTGGTGTGCCCTTTGCTAAGACCGTTGGAAAAGCGCAGTATTAGGGTGGGAGTGACCCAATTTTCCAGGTGCCGTCTGTCACCCCTTTCTTTGACTAGGAAAGGGAATTCCCTGACCCCTTGCGCTTCCCAGGTGAGGTGATGCCTCACCCTGCTTTGGCTCATGCTTGGTGCGCTGAGCCCACTGTCCTGCACCCACTGTCCAACACTCCCCAGTGAGATGAACCCGGTACCTCAGCTGGAAATGCAGAAATTACCCGTCTTCTGCGTTGCTCACGCTGGGAGCTGTAGACTGGAGCTGTTCCTATTCAGCCATCTTGGCTCCACCCCAAAAAGATAGAGTTTCTATATGGCCCCTGACCACACACATGCACATACTCCCCTACTATCAACATTCTGCATAAGAATCATATGTTCGTTACAATCCATGAATCTACAGTGACACAAAATTAATACTTAAAGGTCATAGTTTACATATTTGCCTAGGATATATTTGCATAGTTTCCATTAGGGTTCACTGTTGGTAGTGTACTCATTTCATGGGTTTTGACAAATGTATAATGACATTATCCATCATTGTAGTATCAGACAATATTTCACTTCCCTGAAAATACACTTTTCTCTGCTGTATTAGTCTGTTTTCACACTGCTATAAAGAACTACCTGAGAATGGGTAATTTATAAAGAAAAGAGGTTTAATTGATTCACAGTTCTGCATGGCTGGGGAGGCCTCAGGAAACTTACAATCATGGCGGAAGGCAAAGGGGAAGCAAGGCACATCTTATATGGTGGCAGGAGAGGGAGGGAGCGAAGAAAGCCACACACTTTTAAACCATCAGCTGTTTTGAGAGCTAACTCACTATCACAAGAACGGAATAGGGAAAATCTGCCCCGATGATCTAATCATCTCCCACCAAGTCTCTCCCTCAACATGTGGGGATTACAATTTGAGATGAGATTTAGTTGGGGACAGAGAGCCCAAAGCATCTCATCTGCCTTTGCATCCCTCCCTCTTCCTAACCCCTGGAAGCTACTGATCTTCTTTACTTCATAGTTTTGCCTTTTGCAGAATGTCATAGTTGGAATTACACAGTCTATAGTAGTTGCAGTTTGGTTTCTTTCACTGAGTGATAAGCCATCAAGTTTCCTCCAGTTCTTTTCTTGGCTTGATAGCTTTCTTGCTACTGCTAAATAATATTCCATTGTCTGAATGTACTACAATTTATTTATCCACTCACCAACTAAAGGACACTTTAGCAATTATGAATAAAGCTTCTAGAAACATTCTAATGCATGTTTTCTGTGGACATACGTTTTCAATTTATTTGGATGAATTCCAAGGAGTATGATTGCTGAAGTGTATTTTTTTAAATACTGCCAAAATGTTTTCCAAAGTGGTTATATCTTTTTTTTTTTTAACATGGCATAGCAGACTAGGGACATACATACTGGTTCTCCTCAGAAATTAGATCAAAGATACCAGTGCATGGCCAAGTTTTAAACAGAAGATGGAGAGAAGAGAGCCAGGATCCATCAGAGCACCCATGGAAAGAAGCTGGGGTATAGAAAAAAAAGCAGCAAAAGTCTAGACTGACCCCTAATACACTCAAAGCCCAGCAGAAAGGGTAGGTGGGAGTGCTTCTCCCCTCCCGGAACCCTCTGCCAAGCTGCTGACTACTAAACTGTTGGGTGCCCCTCTGCCCTTGCAATCCATGGTAGCACTATCAGTAGCAATCAGAGAACTTCTCCTAAACAGAGAACTGAGTGGTCAGCTTGTGCAGCCATGCCACATACCCCTCAGACCCAAGCTAAGAGAGTGGGCACCATACCAGTTGGGTAACCGTGGTGCAACTCTCCTTCCTGGGGATCCTCTGCTCTTGAACTACTGCACCACCGGAACACTCACAAACATACCCCACAACCCACTCTGATTTTGGCAAGCACAGGGAACTTGTGGAGCCCAGGAAGTTGTGAGTCTCCTGGAGATCTAACCCTTGGTGAAGAACACGGCCTGGCAAAGCCCCTCCGGGGGCAAAGGAAATGCAGGTGAGGCACCAACTGCAAAAGGGGTCCCATCGATGACTAGGAAGTGATGTGGAGATTGGGTAATATTTTGTCCCCCACCTCTCCATACACTGTGTCAGCTGCAGTAGTAGTTCTTCCTATCAGGGCCTGGTGAGTGAGCAATTAAATAAATCATTTATCTCATTTTTCCAGTGGCTCCATCCTCAAAGAAAGTGAGCACACACTGAAAAAAGTGCTTCTCATGCTTTTCCAGAGAGTTGAAAACAAAGGATGGCACCCAACTACCCCTCCCTACACAGAGTTCTAGCACCCCTGCAAGGGAGGACAGAGTGCGAAGTTACCTGCCCTGGACAGGGAAAAGTGGCTCTGCCACCAACCCCATTCTAGTGATAGCCATAAGGTAGACGCTCCTTTGCCCACAGCCAAGCTGCAGCTGGGTACCAAAGATGAAGGCTTCATAAACAGAAGACTGCGAACCCCATGACAGGGGTGTAATAGGGAAGCTGATTGTTCTCTTGCTAGCTCAAGATGAGGAACTTGTTCATACCTCCCCAGGTTCTTCCCCCTGTGCTTCAGTGCACCACATCAACATCTCTTCTTGCTACCTCCATCAGAGCATGTATGTAGGGCATCAGCTCATTCACTGGCTCTTACTCTTAAGCACCATCTACAGGACTTCAGCATGAATTGCACCACCAAACCAAAAAAAAAAAAATTACATCAACAAGCAGGATCTGAGAATGTCACCGCAAAGAACCTATTTGCAAACAAGGAACCCCTTCCGAGCTTTGGTCCTCTGAAAGCACCCAAAACCAAAGCCATTCAATTATACACAACATACACCACAGTCAAACCCTCAAGGGAAAAAAAGAATAAAAAAATTAAAACCCCATCCAAATGATAGAAAACTCAAAAAAAGAAGCAAGAGATCCCTTAGATAAGTAGAAATTATAGCAAGAACTCTGGCAGCTTAAAAAGCTAGAGTGTTTTGTCACCTCCAAAAGATTGTATATACTCCTTAGCAATGGGTCCTAACCAGATTGCAATGTCCGAAATTGTTGCTAGAGAGTTAAATATATGAATGGTGAGGTAACTCAGTGAGATTGAGGAGAAAGCTGAAATCCAAAACAAAGAGACAAACAAGCACACAAAAAGGTTCAAGATACGAAAGATGGCATGGCTAAACAAAAAAGAACAAAAAAGAACTGTTGGAATTGAAAAATTCACTACGGGAATTTCAAAATGCAGTTGGAAGCCTAAACAATAGGCTAGACAAAGAAAGAGAAAGGCTTTTACAGCAAGAAAACTGTTCCTTTGAACCAAACCAGTGAGACAAATTTTTTTTAAATAACTTTAAAAACTGAACAAAGATTTTGAGGAACATTGGATTATGTAATATGGCAAAACCTATGACTTATTGGCATTCCTGAGAGAGAAGAAGAAAAAGTAGACAACTTGGAAAATATATTCAAGAGTTTAATTCAGGAAAATTTCCCCAATTTTGCTAGAGGTCAACATGCAGACCCAAGAAATTCAGAAACTCCTGTAAGAAACTATACAAGATGACCATCCCCAAAGCATACAGTTATCCAACTATCCAAAATCAACAAGAAATAAAAAATTTTAAAGGCAGCTGGAGAAAAGGGTCAAATTACTTAAAAAAGGATTTTCCTAAGATTGACAGTGGCTTTCTTAGCAGAAACCTTACAAGCCAGAAGAGACTGAGGGTCTATTTTTTAGCATTCCTAAAGAAAAAAATTCCATCCAATAATTTCATTTCCTACAAAGCTAAGTTTCACAAACAAGGAGAAATAAAGTATTTTGAGACCAGCAAAGACTAAGGGAAATTGTCACCACCAGCCTGGACCTCTAAGAAATGTTTAATGGAGTTCTACACATGGCAACAAAATAATGATACTTGCCACTACAAAAGCACGTGTAAGTACAAAGCCCACAGACCATATAAAGCAAATACAAATCAAGACTGCAAAGCAACTAGCTAAAAACACCAAGACAGGAACAAAAACCCCCATATCAATATTAACCTTCAATGTAAATAACCTATATGCTCCACTTAAAAGACTTAGAGGGGCAAATTGGATTAGAAAAAAATAACTCAACCTTCTGCTGTCTTCAAGAGACACTCTCATCTTTAATGGCATGCATAGGCTCAAAGTAAAGGGATGAGTGAACATCTATAATGCCAATGAAAAACAAATAAAGCAGGGATTGCTATTTTTATATCAGATAAGACAGACTGTTTGCCAATAACAGTAAAAAAAAAAAGACAGGGCAAAAAAGGGACTACATAATGATCAAGCTTTCAATTCATCAAGAAGATTTTACTATCCCAATTATACATACACCCAACATTGGAGCACCTAGATTTATAAAACAATTACTATAAAACCTATGTACAGAGTTAGTCAGCTACACAATAATAGTGGGGGTCTTCAGCACCCCACACACAACATTTAGACAAAACATTAAGGCTCAAAACTAACAAATTCAAGACTAAAATTGGACACCTGGCCAAGTGGAGCTAATAGACACCTTTACAATATTCCACCAACAACCACAGAATATACATTCTTCTCAACTACACAAGGATATACTCTTAAGATTGATTACATGCTCTGTCATAAAGCAATTCTTAATAAAGTCAAAAAATTCAAAATCATACTACACATCTTCTCAGAAGACAGTGGAATAAAATTTAAAGTCAATACCAGCAGGAACTCTTAAAACCTGACAAATACATGGAAACTAAACCACTTGCCCCTTAATGATTTTGGGGTGAATAGCCAAATTAGGGCAACAATTTTAAAAATGTCCTTGAAACAAATGGAAATAGAGGCATCACATGCCACGATCTCTGGGATACAGAAAAAGCAGTGTTAAGAGGAAATTGTATAGTACTAAATGTCTACACCAAGAAGTTAAAAATATCTCAAATTAACAACTCAACGTCACCCCTAAAGGAACTAGGAAAACAAGGACAAACGAAACTCAGACCTAGTAGAATAAAAGAAATAACTAAAATCATAGCAGAACTAAATTAAATTGAGAACAAAAACCATACAAAGAATCAATTTTTAAAAAGTTGATTATTTGAAAAGATAAAGAAGACTGATAGACTGCTAGCCAGACTAATAAAGACAAAATATCAAAATTAGCACAATTAAAAAAGACAAAAGTGACATTACAACTGATCCTACAGAAATGCAAAAGATCTTCAGAAACTACTCTGACCATCTCTATTTGTACAAACTAAAAAATCCAGAAGAAATTTTTAATTTTCTGGACCCATACAACCTCCCAAGATTAAACAGAAAGAAATTGAAATCCTGTACAGTCCAATAATGAGTTACAAAATTGAATCTGTAATTTAAAAAAAACATACCTACCAAAACAAAACAAAACCTTACAGTAGATGGATTTTGATTCATAGCCAAATTTTATCAGACATACAAAGAAAAGCTGTGCCAAGAGTCATTCCTCTCTAACTCTTTCTGCAAAACCAGTATTATACTAATACCAAAACCTGGCAAGGACACAACATAAAAAGAAAAATGTAAGCCAATATTCCTGATGAACATAGATGCAAAAATCTTCCACAAAATACTAACAAACTGTATAAAGCACCATATCAAAAAAAATTATTCATCATGGTCAAGTGGACTTTATTCCTGGAATGCAAGGATGGTTCAACATACATAAATCAATAAATGTGATTCACCACATAAACAGAATTAAAAACAACAACCATGTGATCATCTCAATAGATGCAGAAAAGGCATTCCATAAAATCTAACATATCTAATCTATCTTCATAATAAAAACCCTTAACAGAGTATGCATTGAAGGAACATAACTCAAAATAATAAGAGCTATCCATGACAAACCCACAGCCAACATTATACCAAACAGGCAAAAGTTGGCAGCATTCCCCCTGAAAACTAGCACTTCTCACTTCTACTAGTGAGAGTGGACATCCTTGTCTTGTGCCAGAGACAAGGCACAACAAATCTGAACCAGGGCAATCAGGCAAGCAAAAGAAATAAAAGGTATCCAAATAGGAAAAGAGGAAGTCAAATTACTTCTCTTTGCTGACAATATGATTCTATACTGAGAAAACGTTAAAGATTCTTCCAAAAGACTCCTAGACCTGATAAGCAACTTCAGTAAAGTTTCAGAATACCAAATCAATATACTAAAAGTAGTAGCATTTCTATACACCAATATAACATTCATGCTGAGAGCCAAATCAATAATTCAATCCCATTTACAGTAGCCACAACAAAATAAAGGACCTAGGAATACATCCAACCAAGGAGGTGAAAGAGCTCTAGAAGAACTGTTAACAAAGCACTGCTGAAAGAAATCATAGATTACACAAACAAATGCCAAGAATCAATATGGTTAAAATGTCCATACTGCTCAAAGCAATCTACAGATTCAATATTATTCCTGTCCAATAACCAATGTTATTTTTCACAAAATTAGAAAAAAACAATTCTAAAATCCATGTGGAACCAAAAAGATCCCAAATAGCTCATGCAATCCTAAGCAAAAGTTATAAAGCTGGAGACATTATATTATCTGGCTTCAAACTATACTACAAGGCTAGTAACTAAAAGAGCATGGAAGCGGTACAAAAATAAACACATTGACCAATGGAACAGAATAGGAAATCCAGAAATGAAGAACAGGAAAATGACACCCTATGCAATACAATGTTCTGGGAAAACTGGTTAACCATATGCAGAAGAATGAAATTGAACCCCTACTTCTCATCACAGACAAAAATGAACTCAAGACAAAGACTTCAAAGTAAAATGTCAAACTATAAAAGTCCTAGAAGAAAACTTTGGAAAAACTTCTTTGGACATTGGCCTAGGCAAAGAATTTATGACTAAGACCTCAAAAGCAAATGCACCAAAACAAAAATTGACAAGTCAGACCTAATTAAACTAAAGAGCTTCTGCACAGCAAAAGATGCTCTTACTATCTAGAGTAAACAGACAACTTAGAGAAGGGGAGAAAATACTTGCAAACTATATATCCAACAGAGAACTAACAAACAGAACCTATAAGAAACATTAACCAATCAGCATGAAAAAAAAACCCCATTAAAAAGTGGGCAAAGAACATGAACAGACACTTCTCAAAAAAAGACATACAAGCAGCCAATAAGCATATGAAAAAATGCCAAACATCACTAAACACCAGAGAAATGCAAATCAAAACTACAATGATATATTATCTTACTTCAGTCAGAATGGCTATTATTAAAAAGTAAAAATTAACAGATGCTGGCAAGGATGTGGAGAAAAGTGAACACTTATACACTGTTAGTGAGAATGTCAATTATTTTAGCCTCTGGGGAAAACAACATGGAGATTTCTCAAAGAAATAAAAATGGAATGACCATTTGACCCAGCAATCCAATTAGTGGGTATCTACCCAAACAAAAATAAATCATTCTACCAAAAAGACACCAGTGCTTTTATGTTGTCACAGCACTATTCACAATAACAAAGACAAGGAACCAACCTAGATGCCCATCAATGGTGGATTGGATTAAAAAATTGTGGTACATATACATAATGGAATACTACCCAGCCATAAAAAAAAATGAAATCTTGTCCTTTGCAACAACCTGGATGCAGCTAGGCCATTGTCCTAACTGAAGTAATGCAGAAACAGAAAATCAAATACTTCGTCTTCTCACTTATACATGGGAGCTAAACAATAAGTACACACAGACATAAAGATGGAAGCAGTAGGCAGTGGGTATTCTCAAAGCAGGAGGGAGGAAGCAAGGCGAAGTTTTGAAATACTACTATTGAGTACTGTTTTCATTATTTGTATGATGGCATCAATAGAAAGCCAAACTCCAGCAATATACATATATCCGTGTAACAAACCTGCAATATACCCCTGAAACTTAAACAAGCAAACAAAAAGACTAGACCATTTTGCACTCCTGCCAGCAATAAATGAAAATTTGTGTTGTTCAACCTCCATGCCAGCATTTAGGGTTGTCAGTGTTTTGACTTTTCACTATTCTAATAAGTGTGTAGTGGAGAATTTAGTGTTGTTCAAAATGAATCTCTATTTTTATTTTATAATAAAAAAATTAAACTGAGTAATTGGATCATTGTCTTGGAAAAAGGTGAAGGCAGTATTTGAATCAAAAGTATCTATCTCCGGGCATGGTGGCCCATGCCTATAATCCCAGTACTTTGGGAGGCTGAGGTGGGTGGATCATGAGGTCAAGAGATCGAGACCATCCTGGCCAACATGGTGAACCTCGTCTCTACTAAAAGTACAAAAATTAGCTGGGCATGGTGGCACATGCTTGTGGTCCCAGCTACTCAAGAGGCTGAGGCAGGAGAATCACTTGAACATGGGAGGCAGAGGTTGCAGTGAACCGAGATCGCGCCACTGCACTCCAGCCTGGCGACAGAGCAAGACTACGTCTCAAAAAAAAAAAAAAAAAGGAAAAAGAAAAAGAAAAAGTATCTATGAAGAGTATCTCCCACTATACCAAATTTTCTTAACATATTTATTGATTTTTTTTCTTCACATTAATATACTAATGTACTTGTTAAGTGTTTTGTCATGGTTTTATCCTTGGGGACAACATCTGACTGGGTGTGCAAGTTGATCATTGGGCAGAAGTTTGTTCATGTCTGTTTCTTCAGAATAACAGGAATACATGGTATTCTATACTCAGACTCTGCTCATATAGTTCATGTTAAAACTCCTATACATTTGGCTCACCAGATACTACTTTCAAAGATGCTTTAAAAGGCTCAAAAGTATAACACCATTTCTTTAACAAGTTATTATGTCTACTGCAAGAGCATCAAAAACTGTAGATTTTTTTTTTAATGGAAATGGCAGAACACATGAACTGATCCCATTGGGTGCATATTAAATAAACATGTAAAATATCCTAAAATAAACATAATTTTAAATTAATGGAATTTTTTTCTGCCTGTCTTAGTTCTGGATGTTCCATGCCTCTCCCTCATTTTATTGTATGACAGAGAAAATAAGCATTTATATTTTATTTTCCATTCAAAGTTCACAAAGTTCATTTCAACTTATGTCTCAGGATAAGTTGAAATAATCCCCTATGCATAGTAGTACAAAATATTACATTTATTGAGTTTTAATAGTAAACTCACCTAGAGTCAACTGTATAGAAATTTTACTGTTAAAGCAGATCTTTTTCTTTTCCATCTGTCAATCTAGCTTACTATTTTAGAAAATTGCTGTTAATACCATACTTTTATGGCCCTAATAAAGATTAAAAGTCCTCTTTCATATAGATAAGCCACATAATTTGGGATCCTCAAAAACAAGATACGCTTTTTTTGTTCACAGAAGATTTCAAATGATCAAAATTATCTGGAAGTAATTTGGATATCATGAAAAACATAAATTTGAGAGTAATTAAAATAGTATGACAACCATTGCTTATGAACCCCCTGAAGAGAATTTTTATTGCAAGAAATATATTAGATAACTAACTTTTTAAAAAGTTTAAATTGTAGAATTATATTATCTTGAAGGACCAGGATCCTAGAATTTTGGTACAGAATAAAGGAGTTATTTATTTGAATAAAATTGGAGTCTGGATCAATCAGAATGGTTGTGTCTGCGAGTAACAAAAATTCAACTGTGTTGAACTGTGTCCCTCCAAATAGATATGTCTAACTCTTTTCCCCCAATTTCTGTGAAGGTGACCTTATTTGGAAATAGGATTTTAGCAGATAGAATTAAATTAGAAATCTCTAGGTGATATTACTCTGGATTTAGGGTGAGACCTAAGTCCAATGACTAATGTTTTTATAAGAGAGAGAAGAGAGAGATTTGACACACAGAGGAACAGTTGAGAGAAGGACATGAGAAGTCTCAGTTAGAGACTGGTGTGATGTGTCTACATACTGATGAATGCCAAGCATTGCTGGCAGCTAACGAGAAGCTAGGAGATAAGCATGGAACAGATTCTTTCACAGAGTCTCCAGAAAGAAGCAACTTTGCAAATACCTTGATGTCAAACTTCTGGCCTCCAGAGCTGTGAGGGAATATATTTCTGTTGTTTGAAGCCATCAGGTTTGTTATAAGGTTCGTTATAATTTGTTACCAAAGCCCCTGGAAACTAATAGGCCCATCCAAACTGTAAAAATATGGAAATTTATTAGTTCACACAAATAGTAATTAAGAGAATTGACTCTCTTCCAAGGTGAGTTGCTCTTATTCTGTTTTCCTGTAAATTTCTTGGATTTACCTTCTTACTTCAAAGGTTCATTTTCACTACAGTCATGAGATGGCTACAGCAGCTACAAAGCTCATATACATGACTGATAATATCCAGTGAAATTAAAGCAGAGATTAAAAAGCAACTTACTTCTGATTGCCGTCTCAAAATGAATACATAGCATTTCCAAAAAGATCCACAAATACTTGTATTAAAATTTATTTGGTCAAATTAGGTCATATACTTAAAAAAATAATAAAATGGGGTATCTTAAGATAACTAAACAAGTTGGATTTATGTTCAAACAAGGAATGGATGGTAGGTGTTAATTGGGCAAATAATTGTAACTACAAAGTAACATGGCCACTGTAATGCTTCTTCTCCAGGGACAAAATCATTAAGCAGTTTAACTGCTTTTATAGTAAATAAAATATCAAGTGATTAGATTTCCTCTGCAAACTTTTAAAGCTATATATTTCTCAAATATCTAGAATTCTTGAAACTTTGCTATTATAAAGGCATTTGTAGTTACATGTGGTAATGCTGCCACAGTTGGAAGGACAAAGACCAAAAATAGTATTGGCTTTCTGGATTATAGGAAGGACACATAGTCCATCACTACATATACAGAATAGCAATATCTCTAATTCTATACCTTTCAGTCTTGCACTTTCTTAACATTCCCTGTCTTTCCATGAAAAATTAATAGTGAAATTGGCATGACCTAACCTACATGCAATAAAGTAACATAGATCATACTTTTGGCAGATTAAACATTTTCAAGCAATTAGACAGGCGGGTAGGACGAAGAGAAATATTTATAACAAGAAATTCTATGAGCAAAGCATAGGCTAGACAAATTCATGTAATGTCTAACACATCCCTATAGGGATTAATTCCAATGGAGTTGAAGAAACAAGCACTGTAAAAGACTAATTAAGTTTACCAATGTTGCACAGCTAATGAGCAGCCAGGCTGACTTTGAATCTTTCTCTGACTTCTAAGCCCATGTTCTCTCCAAAAGCAACTCCAACAAAATTATTATTTAAAAAATTAATTTCTAATAAAATAAATTATTTATGTATCATTCTTTACTGGTAGACCAAGAATTATACTAAATAAGCAAATATTGAGGTATAAGACAAGCTGTTTTAGTTCAAGTTCCCCAGAAGTACAACTCAAATTGAGCATTTGTATTCAAGCGAATTATTAGGAAGAACCCAAAAGATAAACTGAAGAAACCAAGCAAGAATAAGATTTGAGGCAAAGTCACATGGAAGAAAATTTCAGCTAATTTCACTGGAAAAAGTTACTGTGACCTGAGGCCAGAGACCTAAGATCTCACACCCCAATCTGTCACTCTTGGTATCATTGACTAAAGACTGTACCAAAAGGATACAAACTCTCTGTGCTTGCAGGGCAAAGTGGCTCCTGTAGCCTGAAGGTAATCTACAGGTAAAGAGCTGCAAGTATAGACCTGAAGCTCAGGGAAGGGTTTACAGAAAGTTAATAAATCCAAGAGAATCTAAATAGAATGATTTTGTTGTTGGTTACTTCAGTCTTATACAAAAGAAAGGATGCATGCATAGAATAACCAAATCTGAAACCTTCCCAAAAGCTTAATTAAATTAAACAGTATCCATGTGTTAATTTTAGATTACTGAATACCTCATAGTTATATAGACTGTAGGTTGATAATTTGTTCATAAAGGAAAAGCAAACTAAATATTTCCTCCTTTAGCAGAAGGATAAAAGATATATCCATTTGGGTGAGAAATGAATTCCTGGGTGTTATTAAAATTGGATTGATTTAAACTTCCATTTTTACCTGCCAAGGCTCAGGTAAGAATTGTAGCAGAGGGAAAATTAACAAAATAAATGGATTTGAGGTCACATTTATGATATGCAGTTGGTAGTTTATGTTGTATAGAAATGTCTGGGTTGCTGAAAATTGATAATGGAAACTCATGTAGCCCTCTAAATTCATGGTTTGGCTTTCAAGCCATTCTGGAAGTAATGTCCCATGATGCACTGCTATAAACATCAGCTGGTATACAAGGATTGATACCATACATATACTTGGAGTTTTTTTAAGCAATGTATTAGCTTCAAATTGAAAAAGAAAACCACATAAAGTTCCTTAATAAATGTGTTTCTGATTGAAACATATTGCTAATATTATTAAATGTCCCAGAGAGTAACTGACATAACATATTTACTTGTATTCACACTGCCATTTTTGTTGCAGATGGCTTATAAAACACTTACAAACACATTACTGTATGCAAAACATAATGCTGTTTCTGGAACTCTGGTTTTTATGGACTTTTATGGCTGAACAATTGATATTTACCTTTGGAGATTGGCTTAGAAGACCCTAAAGCAGCACGACAGAAGATAAACTATGACTATTTGCTCATAATATGAGAACAGCAAAATAGCTAAAAGGCCTCTTTAAATATTCCTGGTATTAAAGCAGCATGACTGTTTAAAAGTTCAACATTTTACTTTCATACTAAGCAGTCTAGGTTCTTTCCCAATCCTGTTTGGTAAAAGAACCCCTGAGAGAACCTTTCAGAGAATTATGCCTTCTGTTGTTACTAAATACACTGAGTCTACTTACTCTTCATGTCTGGGGCTGTCTTTATCAGTGTGATAGTTACTACCTGCATTCATAGGTGCTAATTGGTGTCCAATAGTTTCAGAGTGACTGACACAGACCTAATATAAATAATGTCTTTAAATAGTGATTCAGTTACAAATGGTTCTCTCTGGGAAAAACAATAACCAAAAAAAAGGCTATTTTTTAAATTCACTGTAAAGTTAAAGGCTATCTCAGAAAGGGTAAACTCTCAGTCCAAGAAAATTAATCAGACACTATATTCAAACACCTAAGAGAAGATAGTATGTCAGCATTTAAGCAGTTAGAGACAGAGTAAAGGACAAATTTTTTACTGGTAGAGAAAAAAATAATAACATGTTGGAAAAATAAAATTCACAATAAAAAGATTAATTTAGGAGCAAAGTAAGTATTACAAATAAAGAAATGAGGCATCAACAAAGCCCAAGATAGTTTGGAAGAAGACTTTGGGAAGAAGGTGGTATATTAGCATGTGTTGAAGGACAGAATTCACACAGGTAGAAGGGGTATAAAGATATAGTGATAACTCACACTGGGGCCCGGAGGGCAGAGGGTGAGAGGAGGGAGACCACCAAGGAAAATAACTAGTGGATACTAGACTTAATACCTGGGTGACGAAATAATCTGTACAACAAACCCCCATGACACACATTTACCTATCTAACAAACCTGTACATCCTGAACATGTACCCCTGAACTTATAATAAAAGTTAAAAAAAAAAAAAAAAGAAAGCTGAGCTGTAGGATTTGCTTCTGGGGAACAAAGAACAGTCTTGGCATAAGCTAAGAGTTACAGAGAGACAGTGGTGAGAACAAGACTGTGAAGGCTAGCCAGTCTCTATCATTTAGGACCGCAGGCAGCGTTGAAGATTTTAACTTCTTGGCACTGAGAATCCATTAAATGTGTCTGAGCAGAGGGGTGACAATTGCAGGCTTTGCTCTACTCTATGCCAGAACAGAGACTATCAATTACCAAAGATTCTATTCTCTCTCCTAGCAGAATGGAGGCTTGATGGAACAATTTCTACTGTGGGCAGGGAGTGGGAGGAGAGAGGAATGGAAGCCTTTCCGAGTAGTCAATACTCCTAAAGGTTGCACAGCTTGTGCTTTTCTGTATATAAAAGGGAATAATTAGGCCCAGTGGGTGTTACATCATAACATGCACTTTATGACTGGGTTTACACAATGCCAGATGACTGGAGAGCTTTGTTTTATTGTTGTTAACTGCTCATTTTTGTTCAACGCAAGCTAAGCCTACGGCTAATGCTTCTAACAATGCAGCTGGGGGCATTTGTATAGTGGAACTTTCCATGCCAACTTTCAAAATTACGTAAAACAAGAAGTCTTTATGTAATGTTTTCACATAGTAAGCACAGGGAGCTACAAATATGTTGGAAAGGGCCTTCTTTCAAATGGATGACAAAGCCAAAATGAATGAGTTATTTAACCTGCAACATTAACCTTGTTTTTAGAACTTAGAGTGATTTGTCTGGGTCAATGACATGCATAGAAATAATTGGAAATGCTGTGTGAAAAAAGTAAGCCAATGTTCTGTAGTGGCAGCAGCATGGGATTTAAAAACAGAAAAAACAAATTTTATTTTTCTTTTTCAATACTCATCAGCTGCATGACCTAAGTAGTTGCTTCTCTAAGCTTCATTACAGATATCTTTCCGTAGAGAATTGATTAAATATTTTAAAGTGAATTCGTACAAAATAATACAACCATTAAAAAGTATATATATGCATATTTCTTGAGACAAAATTTTGTGTACAGCATATACACAATGTATATGCTATACATTCTTTATACAATGTATAGAAAATGTTCACAATGTTACTTGTATAGTATGAGATGTGTGTGCTTGTATATGTGTATATATATACATATACATACAATCATAGGGCCATGATTTTAAAAGCGATTGTCATGTCAACAGTTTATCTTTCCTGATGATTAGATGTGGGTAAATGTTTTCTTCTTTGAAATTGTTTATATATTGTTATTTATTGCTAAAACTTGTGTGCCTTAAAAAGTACATTAAGGCTTTTAAACAAAAAATGAAAAAGGGCATTGACTCGGGCGCATTCTCTTCAGCCTTTTGAATTTCACCCACAGGATCACTAATTACACACAATTATCAGTGAAGATGCACAAAGTTATTTATCTATCTTACCCAGAACTTTGGACTTTGCTGCATAATAGGATAAGAGCCAGAAGTCTTTAGTAAGAATTCCATAGGGAATCTTTAGGCTAGAATTATATGTAAACAGTATTTAATTAATGGATATATCTAGCATTTTATTTCTGGAATATGTTTATTTTATTTCATTTATCTACAAAAGTAAAGCAAAAGAGAGAGAAGGTTGTGGTAGAGAAAGAAACAGGTCTTAGGCTAGCTTTCCAACCAAATAAGCACCTTTAATTGGTGATGGTGGTGATAAGAAGGATGGTCATTACCAAGAAAATGCAAATGAAAAGAGAGGAAAGGGCTAGAAACTCCTCTACTTCCCACAAATTAACTGCAGTTCCAAAACACCTGAGAATTCATTCCCAATATATTAAGAAATAATTTTAATGTAGAATACATAAAAATATACCACCTGTATCTAAAATAAAAGTTAAAATTTAAAAAATATAAACTTCCAAAATAAGAGTATTCATGTAAACTATTAATACATGCAAAGTTAGATAAGTCCAGTTTGCAATAATGAAAATAGCCGCCACCTCAAAAAGAAAAAAAGCATAGCTAAAGCACCAGCAAACGTAACAAAAAGGCATCTTTGTTGAATTGAAGTTAATAGAGGAGCAATAAAAAGAGATCAGAAGTCTGTGAGCATTCAGAGACAATCGTTCTTATGTGTCTTAATGTGTATGTTTTAGACCCAATTTAGCTCTCTGCTAAGATTGAAAAATGATGGACTTTTCCAGTGTTTAACTACATTACCATGTTCTGATCCTAGCATTGGATGTTTCTGGATATATTGCTGCTGAAGAAACAGCCAAATACTGTGGGCTCACTTGGTTTGCCATTTACTTCTTAAACATATCAGTTTTCTAGTAATGTTGCTTTTCATAGGTAAATGGCTCCTCCATCAAAGAGCACATTTGCATACCTTTCAAATCTCATCACCCTAAAGTAATCATCACTTGATCATAAAATACCTTTTCAAGCACTGAACGATGACACTGAGTGGTTTGTCACACAAAATTTATGGGAAATAAGCAAGGAAATGTGCCGTGTGTCTAAAAGACTTCTTTTAAAGAGAATATTTTGGCTTCTAGTAGATTTCTTTGCAATCTGTCCTTTAAAGAAGTATTTGTGGCTTCTGGCTGATATAATTTAAATATTCTATAGCTAAATTTCTTTGTTTATGCACTACTTTATTTGCATGCATGAAATCACTCTCCAAAAATGCTTCCAAATAAGATAAGAGCACTCTAACACAATGCTATTTGGAGGCCAGGGTTTTCTGTTATTTTGCATTATGTCCTTCTGTACAAGGTTAAAGAAAAGTCTGCAATTTTAGACAGATCTGGAATGTGTGAGTAATTGTCTGTAAAGGAATTTCTAAAAAAAATAAGTAAATAACATTTATAAACCCTCACATATCTTTTTAAGGAAGCACAGAACACACTAATAGCAATTTGGTGGTATAACGGAAAATACCTTCTTCAAGGATATTAGGTTGAGACCAACCTAGTCTTGAATTTTGTATATTTTACTTATTAGCCATATCACTTTTGGTAATATACTTGAATTTTTAGTCTATTTCCTCATATGTAGCATAAGAATTATAATAGTTATTTCTTGAGTCTGATGTAAGAATAACATAGCACTAAGTCTGTCAAATGTGTTGCACATTATAAAGCACAAAAAAGTACTTAACTGCTGTTAGTTTGCTATCCTTCTAAATTAACGTTTAGAAGAAGTAAAAATACTTTTACTATGTTACAATAAAAATAGGAATTATGTGACACCAAATTGTATAATATACTCATTGAATAGTGACTCTCATTCTGATTATTAATTATATTTTCCTCTCCCAATTATATTTCCATATCTTCCTTATTTTGAGAATAGCATTTTTGCACGATATTGCCTAAAATGTGTTAAGTAACCTTCTGGAAGTATGTCAGAGACTGGCAGGTACTTTGCAATATTTGTTCACTCCTCTTCCTGAGCACATAGATCAACTCCATTTTCCATGCATGCCATGGTTTTTGTTTACCAAGAAAGAATGTGAACAGCTGCAAGTTCTGGCCCAAAACTCTCCTGCATGTGGTATTCTCCATCTTTGTCTTCTTCGTGGTGGTTGGGATAGAGATGCACCAATGGTGATCTCCGAAGTCTTAGGTAGAATATAGTGAAGACACAATGGAAGTAATGATGTGCAATAATCTGCAGTAATGAACACTTCCAATGATTATCACATCTGGATAATCAAGCTTTTGTGTAGTCCCTTCACAAATTGAATCAAGGCTGAACTGTGTGACACATACAATACTGTGGAAGTGATGTTGTGTGACTTCTAAGACTGTATCAAAAACTGCAATGCAACTCCCACTTTTGTTTCTTGACTTGCTTCTTCTACTTGGATTTCATGGTGACACTCAAGAAACCCCATGGAGAAGCCCATGTGGGGTGTAATGAGAAAACTGCCAACAGTCAGCATCAATTGCCAGCTATGTCAGTGAGTCCCTTGGAAGCTACTGAAAGCTTTCATCCTTCATCAGGCTCACAGATGACTACATCCCTGGCCAATATGTGACTCCTCATGAGAAATGCTTAGTTAGAACTGCCTAGCCAAGCTGCTTCCAAATTTCTGACCCACAGAAACTGTAAGATATAGTACATGTGTTGTTATCGCTACTGTTAATCCACTTACATTTTGGGGTTACTTACATTTAGGAGTAACTTGTGCCATAGCTTTAGATAACTAATATACCTGGGAATCTGAACCATAGCTTGAAGGAGATTCTCCCAATCAGGAATAGTTGCTTCAGAATTCAGTTGAACAAGGACATATTTTCATTATGTAAGCAATTACAATTTGTTTCAACATATGCATTTGCTTATCTAACACTGTTATCATCTAGATTTTCTTAACCTCTGAGGTTCAGGCTTATTAACATTTTGGACTGAATAATGTTTTTGCTGTGGGAAGATGTCCTGTACTTTGTAGGATGTTTCACAGCATCCTTGACCTCCACTCACCAGATAGCAGTAGCAACATTTTTCCCAAGTTATGACAATCAAAAATGTCTCTGAACTTTCTCAAATGTCCCTGGGAGTACAAAATCACCCAGTTGAAAATAACTGAGCTAGAGAGAGATTGATATTAATTTCAATACTAAGCTAATGTGATATTGGTCATGTCAGTTAACCTTATTTTCTTCATTTATAAAATCAAAGTGAATTAGACAGATGAGCTTTAACTCTGAAACTTGACAAGTCTTCTTTAAAGCTCTTCTTTAAAGAAGACAAGTCTTCTCCTTATGACTATATCAGTATCATAAAATTATTTAGTAGTAGCACAGTATATAATATTTTTTAAAGGGAGAATTTAAAGAGAAGTCTTTTAGAATAGATTAGGGGAAAGGAAAATTCACAAACTTCAGATATATTACACTTTGCCATAGAGATCATGCCTAGGGAAAAACACATCTTCTTGGTGCATCACAGAATATTACTTGAAAAATAGTGACACAATATTTTTCACATTCTGATACAATCTTTAGCATGATTTAATGATTTCATTTAAAATTGTTGTTTCCAGATCTCATCCTTCATTGGATATCACAAAACTAAGCTAAACATTAGTCTATCTGTTTTTGAATCAAGAAGGTTTTCCACTTGCTGCACTTTCTCCAAAGTTTTTGAAATTCTACAAAATATGATACTTTACATTCACTGAAACAAGTATGTCTTCCATATCAGTATTTCAACAAGGGAAATTAAGGTATCTTTTGGTGTCAGAATGAACCAATCTGGTTAAAGAAGGGTCCTTGAGGAAAGGAATAATTTTTTAATTCTGTACTTTCTGGCAACTTCACTAAGGCAATACAGCATAGTGGTTAAGAGTATTGATCCTGGAGGTAGAATTCCTGGTCAAAATTGAAGCTCTACCACTTGTCATTTGAAAACCATTAAACCACTGTGTACATGAATTATCTCCTATGTAAAATGAAAACTAGTTTTCATGTTGGCCAAAAGAAAAGGAAGTCCCACCATCGTTTCTAGACTATCAAAAATTCTGAGGGGTACCCGTTTTTACCTCCATTTTCTTAATTCTTCCTTACATACGAGAAAAAGAGATGAATACTGTGTTTCCAGTAAGTACTACAAAAACAAGACCCTCCAACCTCTGGCCTAGATCTCACTCTATTGCTGTATCTTACCTGTTGCAATTAAATAAGTTATTTTGGATTATGAAGGTCTCAAATTCTATGTTGCTAAAGGGAGATATTAGGCCATGTTTTATTCTCCAATTTAGTTTTTCCAGTAAGATACCTTATAAAATAATTTTTTTTGAGTTTTTGTTGTATTTGAATAGAAAGTGGAAAGTCCCATAGTTTTCCTTTATTACTTTTGTGCTCACTGGCTGTCGCTCCCCTCACCACATACTAGATAATCCCAGCACGTGGGTATCCTTTCACTAGAACTGCACTCAGGCTACCCCAAATCACTTTACCTGTAGGTACTGTGAGTGGGAGTGTCTACATTTGTACATCCACTGGAGTTAGAGGTTAACCACCGAGTCGCCTATTAAAAGATATAAACCCAAGTTTTCTTGTCTCCTGATTAATGTGTGATCATCACTCTCTCCATGCCTATCCTGCGAAATCGAGCCAAAATTTATTTCTGTAGGACTTTTTTAGACACCGAAAACTTGGTTTACTCACATGGAAATCTTATTTCTTCATGTTTCTTCTGGTTTTGTCCTGTGAACATTTCCTGTAATCACTTTCACAAAGTCATTATGTCAGTATCTACTTCTGGGGAATCCACCATAAAATGAGTAGAGTGACAAGAGTGAGAAAGTCTCCACTGAGAATGAGTAAACATTCTTCCCAGTCTTTAAAACAAAAGCAAGCTTTGATGGTTTGACCTACCTCAGTTCCACCAAAGAAGGCTATGTATTTTTCAAGGGAAGAGAAGAATTTTACCTTTTCTCAGTAAAAAGAAAAGCAAACATGATGGCAGGCCCCAGCTCCTCTCTTGCTTTCTACATTTGCCCCCTTTTCTTTTTTAAAAAATTTATTACTTTTTTTTATTTTACTTTAAGTTCTGGGGTACATGTGCAGAATGCACAGGTTTGTTAGTGACCTCTGTCCCTCACCTTGATTAGCTGATTGACTGCAAGGCTTGCAAAATGATTCTCAGAAAACATTTTTCTGATGTTTATCAGGGCTCTCAGCAATGAATATGAAAACATGAATAGTCCACAAAAATGTGGGTGTTTTGGTTAAGTAAAAAACAAAACAAAACAAAACTGCTTGAACCAAAACTGCTAGACAGGTGAGCAACTATCCCGTATCCTATAAAAATCCTGTCACTGTTTCTTCCGGGAGTCAACTTGTATGCAGGTGCTTCCTGATCTATATCAACCGAATAAAGCCTTTCTTCTCCATTTAAGTCACTTAGATTAATTTCTTTTTATATCTCACCTTGATCACTAAAAAGCAGAAAAAAGAATCTGGAAACCTTTCTAATGCATTCACAATGGTGCCAAGGTACAAGAGCTAGTCTGTGTTTCTTCATAAAATATTATAATGACAATGTTTATGCCACTCCTCTCACTAGGATCAATGAATGACTATAATCTATTTTCTAAAATTATAGAAATGGACAAACTCATAGCTCATGGTTAATGTGTTAAAAATTGGTTAGACTTTCCTTTCAATAATTTCTTCCCTTTTATTGTCATAGCAATTTGAAAGTTGGTAGCTGTCTTATAACAGCAGGGCCTAGGCAAATCATATTTCTCCAACTGATTCAGTAACAAACATTTGTCTTCCACATTTTTCAATCAATATAAAACATTCCAGTGGCATCAACCTCATGTCATTTCCCAAGCCTAACTAATGCTTGGCTCAGATTTTGCTCAGGAATCGAGGAAAAATATTTACTGCAACAAATGTTCTTTGTGCATAGAGCAACTGATTTACTGTTGGAAGTAGACATCCATCCAAGTTCTATCTCAGAAAGAGTAAGAGAAAAGAATATAAATTTCAAAAAGTCAGCAGAAAGTACATGAAAGTCCAGAATCTTGGCAAAAAAGGCAAGAGATGAGTTTGGGAATAAATTTTCACATACCACAAATTCGAGAATCTCTAAGTCACTTTCTTCTGCTTCCATTAGTGTTATTTCTAAAAGAATGGGCCTATGTGGGAAGTGAAGCATTGACATTGAAAACAACTTGTAATTCCCTCAGGGTTTAGGAGAAAAATTGACATTATAGATATAGTTGAGGTAAAAAGAAAATCAGTAAATGAATCATCTTATATGATTATGATATATTCTGACAAATTTGCTCTTTTTAGGTTTCTTCTGCATCATTGCTTAGTCTATTTATATCACATTTTGCTATAAGGTGCCACACATAAAAGGAAGGTAATTCAGTAATGAGATATAAAGTAGGATAGCTATATCATTGAAAGAACTTAGATTTTGGTTTTAATGAAAACTAATTGAATTAAACAATTAACTCTGATCAAACTTACACTTGATGTAAATGGCCTGTTTGAAGTATAAAAATAAACCCTGGCTTCAAAATTTTAAACACAGGCCTGACACTTAACAGATAAGAGATACTAGGCAACTTCTTAAAATTACTTTGTTGTTAATTTTAGTCTCTGAAGTAAAAATTAAATACCTTAACAATTTTTATGTAAGTAATATAGTCTAATGTGTTGAACAATAAGTAATTCACTAAATGTGTATTGATTTATTTATGTTGTAACATCATACGTGTCTTCTTCATATACTGCCCTCAATATATTTACTATTAATATTGTCTCATCACATCCACAAATAATATATAGCCCAGCACTTATATTCTAAATTAGAAAGTATTGTTCAAAAATATTTATTGGCTTCAAAATAATTTGTCACTCATACCTGATTGAAAGGGATAGAATCTTTTGTTAAAGTAAGGAACATTTGTTTCTACATTATTACATATGGGGTAAAATTAATTTCTTCTTATAAATTAATTTGTCAATAGATGGCCCTAGTGAATATTGGAACATATTTCAAAGGACAAATCTTTGAATAAAGGATATTAATGTGAGGTTAGGAAAAATCCAGTCCCAATGTACTGGACACTTAACATAATGCAAAACAAACTGTCACTATAGTCTTATTCCTCAACACATGATTACTCCAATTACCTTTGAAGTTATTCATCACATAAAATTATTTTGTTCTTTCACTCAATCTTGCCTTCATTTAAAAAATGACCTATTATATGTCAGACAGTGGGTTAGTATCCACACATATATCTCCCTGCTCTCTCTGTTTAGAGAGCCTAGAAGCAATGAGATTCCAGTAGCAATACGCATATCTAGCACCCAGATATTTGTTTCTAATACCATTCCCCAAAAAAGGGAACCAGGGCTTCTTGAAAAAAATGTCTGAATTTAAGACAAGGGATAAGAAAAACACAAGATGAGCCCAGGGCCTCTTGTTGTTCCAGAAAGTAAGGATGTGCTCAAACAAGTAAATAAAAATGCCACTCACACACAGACATAATGGTGTTAGAATGTGAAAGAGACACTGAAACTAACCAAGAAAGTGCCCAATGACCAAATCTAGATAATTTGAGCAAGAAAATAAATAAGATAATTGTATTAGTCCATTTTCACACTACTATAAAGAAATGCCTGAGACTGGGTAATTTATAATAAAAGAGGTTTCATTGACTCACAGTTCTGCATGGCTGGGGAGGCCTCAGGAAACTTAGAATCATTGTGGAAGGCAAAGGGGAAGCAGGCATCTTCTTCACAAGGCAGCAAGAGAGCAAGCATAGGAGAAATTGCCATTTATAAAACCATCAGATGTTGTGAGACTTACTTACTATCCTTGAGAACAGCATGGGAAAAACTGCCCCCATGATCCAATCCCCTCCCACTGGATCCCTCCCTCAACACTTTGGGATTACGGTTCTAGATGAGATTTCAGTGGGTACACAGAGCCAAACCATATCAATAACGTTATAAGTAAAACAGATACCCATAAATCCAAGCTGATATAAATAAATGCTTTAATAATTGAAGAAGAATAGACAAATCTCTTATATAGAAGAATTGCTACTAATGTATTTTGAGACTCTGTCTTTAAAGTTGTGGAGCAGCACATAATGATTTCCAAAAAGTTATGGAAACAAGAAAAAAAGCATATAGTGGAGAATCTTGACAAACACTACTTCAATCAGACAATGAAGGTCAACATGAAAACTGCATAGTATGTACCCTGGATATGATGAGGTAAGACATTGCAACTAGAGAGGTGTTTTCTCACCCAAAATTCATAACTTCAATATAGTCATGAGAATAATGACAGATAAATCCCAACTGGGGGACATCCTACAAAATACCTTATAAATATTCCTTAAAGCTGTCAAGGTCATTAAAAACAAGGAAGTCTGAGAAACATTATAATTAATAAGAGCCTAAAGAGACTTGACAACTAAATGTAATGTGTTAACCTAGATGAGATCCTGGAACAGGAAAAAGTACCTTAGATAATAACTAAGTACATGTGAATAAAGTATGGATTTGAGTTAGTTATGTATAAATATTGATCATTAATTGTAGAAAAAATACTATACTAATATAAGATGTTAACAATATGGGAAATTGGATGTGGGATATATGGGATCTCTTTGAGCTATCTTCACCATTTTCCAAAAATCTAAAACTTTTCTAAAATTAAAACTAGGTTATTATTTTTATATATATGTATATATTTGCAATAAACTCTACCTAAGGGCATGACTGATGAGGAATCATCTAAATGGAAGCTTCCTAGGCAGGGAGAAAATAATTCAGAAATTTAAAGAAAGAAAGAAAAACAAATGATGTTAAATTATTATGGAGGCTGAGAATAAAAATTAAGAGTAGATCATGAAGTGCCCAGTTACATAAAGAACTTACACCTTTTTTTTTTTTATTAGACTGAAGAATGGATAAAAGTATTGGCATTAAACAGGGGATAATCATCAAACATATAAAGTATTTTAAGTTAATATTTCTAACCTCAATGTTCAGGTCATAGAGTGACCAGTTGATGCAGTGAATATGATGGCTCAACAAAAGTCAGTAGGACAGTAAGTTGAGGGACAGTTGCTAGGACATGATGACTTTCAGTGATGAGAAAAAGAAAATGGTAGAGTTACATCATCATTAGAGTTGAGAATGAGATAGGAACACTAGTAAGACAGAATATATGGAAGGAAGATACTTTGAAAGTGGAAGAGATGAATCTGTGACTATTCAAAGAGCAATTAAGGGACAAATTGCTTCTAGGTTTTGGGAATGGTAAAACAAGGACATTTAATTGGCTTTTATAACTCTTAAAAATGAAAGAAAGGCCCGTAATCCCAGCAATTTGGGAGCCCAAGTTGGGCGGATCACGAGGTCAGGAGATAAAGACCATCCTGGCTAACACAGTGAAACCCCGTCTCTAATAAAAATACAAAAAAATTAGCTGGGCGTGGTGGGGGGGCGCCTGTAGTCCCAGCTACTCGGGAGGCTGAGTCAGGAGAATGGCGTGAACCCAGGAGGTGGAGCTTGCCTTGAGCCGAGATCTCGCCACTGCACTCCTACCTGGGCGACAGTGCGAGACGCTGTCTCAAATAAATAAATAAATAAAAGCATGTAATCCTTCTTTAAAAATTCTGTATGACATTTATGGAATATTGGAGGTAATATAATTTAAAAATACTTAGCAAAGTGGTCAACAATAGTTTAAAAACATTAAACAACAATTTCTGGTATTTTTTAAAAAATATTCATGTCTGGTCTGGCGCTGTGGCTCAAGCCTGTAATCCCAGCACTTTGGGAGGCCAAGGCCAGTGGATCACCTGAGGTCAGGAGCTCAAGACTAGCCTGGCCAACATGGTGAAACCCAATCCCAAATAAAAATACAAAAAAAAAAAAATTAGCTGGGCGTGGTGGCAGGCGCCTGTAATCCCAGCTACTTCAGGAGGCTGAGGCAGGAGAATCGCTAGAAAAGAGGCAGAGGTTGCAGTGAGCCGAGATCGTGCCATTGCACTCCAGCCTGGGTGACAAGAGTGAAACTCTGTCAAAAATACATATATACACATACATATATATATATACACATATATATATTCATGTCTTTATTCAGTAGAACCATTTGAGTTTTGAGGCAAAAACTACTTTTGTGTCAATTCTATTTATTCTGATCATTAGAAATGTAAAATAATTTGATATCTGTCAACACCATCCACCTGCCCAGGTTATATTTAAAAAAAAAACAAATTAATATTGATTCAGGGGGTACATGTTGAAGTTTTGGCTTGGTATGATTCCATCACCCAAGTAGTGAACATAGTACTCAATAGTCAGCTTTTTGACTGTTGCCCTCCTCCTGCCCTCCCACCTTTTGGAATCCTCAATGTCTATTGTTCTTATCTTTATGTCCATGTGTATCCAATGTTTAGCTTTCACTTACAAGTGAAAACATGTGAACAGCGTTCCCTTTTCTCTGCAACCTTGACAACATTTGTTATTTTTTGACTTTTTAAATGGTAGCCACTCTGACTGGTGTAAGACGTTATGCCATCATGGCTTTGATTTGCATCTCTCTGGTGATTGGTAATGATGAA